>NC_000002.12:149610830-149913860 GCF_000001405.40 Homo sapiens | reverse complement strand
CTTCTGTGAAGCTAAATCTTTTGCACATTTTTTGTTTTGTTGTTATTTTACTTTAAGTTCTGGGATACATGTGCAGAATGTGCAGGTTTGTTACATAGGTATACATGTGCCAGGGTGGTTTGCTGCATCTATCAATGCATCATCTAGGTTTTAAGCCCCGCATGGATTAGGTATTTGTCCTAATGCTGTCCCTCCCTTGCCTCCCACCCGCTGACAGGCTCTGGTATGTGATTTTCCCCTCCCTGTGTCCATGTGTTCTCATTGTTCAACTCCCACTTATGAGTAAGAACATGCAGTGTTTGGTTTTCTGTTCCTGTGTTAGTTGGCTGAGAATGATAGCTTCCAGCTTCATCCATGTCCCAGCAAGGACATGAACCCATTCTTTTTTATGGCTGTGTAGTATTCCATTGTGTATATGTGCCACATTTTCTTTATCCAGTCTATCATTGGTGGGCATTTGGGTTGGTTCCATGTCTTTGCTGTTGTAAATAGTGCTGCAATAAACACACATGTGCATGTGTCTTTATAGTAGAATAATTTATAATCCTTTGGGTATATGACCACTAATGAGATTGCTGGGTCAAATGGTATTTCTGGTTGTAGAACCTTGAGGAATTGCCACACTGTCTTCTTCAATGGTTGAACTAATTTATACTACCACCAACAGTGTAAAAGCATTCTTATTTCTCCAATGCCTAGCCAGCATCTGTTGTTTCCTGACTTTTTAATAATCAGAATTCTCACTGGAATGAGATGGTATCTCATCATCAAAATCATTGGTTTTGATTTGCATTTCTCTAATGACCAGTGATCATGAGTTTTTTTCATATATTTGTTGGCCACATAAATGTCTTCTTTTGAGAAGTGTCTGTTCGTATCCTTCACCCACTTTTTGATGGGATTTTTTTTTTCTTGTAAATTTGTTGAAGTTCCTTGTGGATTCTGGATATTAGCCTTTTGTCAGATGGATAGATTGCAAAAATTTTCTCCCATTCTGTAGGTTACATGTTCACTCTGATAATTGTTTATTTTACTATGCAGAAGATCTTCAGTTTGATTAGATCCCATTTGTCAGTTGTTGCCATTGATTTTGGTGTTTTAGTCATGAAGTCTTTGCCCATGCCTATGTCCTGAATTGTATTGCCTAGGTTTTCTTCTAGGGTTTTTATGGTTTT
Source organism: Homo sapiens (assembly GCF_000001405.40). NCBI lineage: Eukaryota > Metazoa > Chordata > Mammalia > Primates > Hominidae > Homo > Homo sapiens. The sequence goes on along the minus strand of NC_000002.12, from coordinate 149,912,685 downwards.
AGTTCTTACATTTAAGTCTTTGATCCATCCTGAGTAATTTTTGTATAAGGTGTAAGGAAGGGGTCCAGTTTCAGTTTTCTGCACATGGCTAGCCAGTTTTCCCAACACCATTTATTAAACAGGGAATCCTTTCCCCATCACTTGTTTTTGTCAGGTTTGTCAAAGATCAGATGGTTGTAGATGTGTGGTGTTATTTCTGAGGATTCTGTTCTGTTACATTGCTCTGTATATCTGTTTTGGTACCAGTACCATGCTGTATTGGTTACTATATTGTTGTAGTATAGTTTTAAGTCAGGTAGTGTGATGCCTCCAGCTTTGTTCTTTTTGCTTAGGATTGTCTTGGCTATACAGGTTCTTTTTTGGTTCCACATGAAATTTAAAGTAGTTTTTTCTAATTCTGTGAAGAAAGTCACTGGTAGCTTGATTGGAATAGCATTGAATCTATAAATTATTTTGGGCAGTATGGCCATTTTTACAATATTGATTCTTCCTATCCATGAGCATGGAATGTTTTTCCATTTGTTTGTGTCCTCTTACTTCCTTGAGCAGTGGTTTGTAGCTCTCCTTGAAGAGATCCTTCATGTCCCTTGTAAGTTTTATTCCTAGGTATTTTATTCTCTTTGTAGCACATGTGAATGGGAGTTCACTTATGATTTGGCTCTCTGCTTGTCTATTATTGGTGTATAGGAATGCTTGTGATTTTTGCACATTAATTTTGTATCCTGAGACTTTGCTGAAGTTGCTCATCAGCCTAAGGAGTTTTTGGGCTGAAACAATGGTGTTTTCTAAATATAGAATCATGTTGTCTTCAAGCAGAGACAACTTGACTTTCTTCTTCCGATGTGAATACCCTTTATTTCTTTCTCTTGTCTGATTGCCCTGGCCAGAAATTCCAATATTGCATTGAATAGAAGTGGTGAGACAGGGCATACTTGTCTTGTGCTGGTTTTCAAAGGGAATGCTTCCAGCTTTTGCCCATTCAGTATGATACTGGCTATGGGTTTGTCATAAATAGCTCTTATGAGATATGTTCCATCAATACCTAGTTTATTGAGAGTTTGTAGCATGAAGGGATGTTGAATTTTATCGAAGGTCTTTTCTGCATCTATTGAGATAATCATGTGGTTTTTGTCATTGGTTCTGTTCATGTGATGGATTACGTTTATTGATTTGAATATGTTGAACCAGCCTTGCATCCCAGGGATGAAGCAGACTTGATTGTGGTGGATAAGCTTTTTGATGTGCTACTGGATTCAGTTTGCCAGTATTTTATTGAGGATTTTTGCATCAATGTTCATCTGGGATATTGGACTGAAATTTTCTTTTTTTATTATATCTCTGCCCGGTTTTGGTATCAGGATGATGCTGGTCTCATAAAATGAGTTAGGGAGGAGTCCCTCTTTTTCTATTGTTTGGGATAGTTTCAGAAGGAATGGTACCAGCTCCTCTTTGTACCTCTGGAAGAATTCAGCTGTGAATCCGTCTGGTCTTGGGCTTTTTTTGTTTGTTTTTGGTTGATAGGCTATTCTATTAATTACTGCCTCAATTTCAGAACATGTTTTTGGTCTATTCAGGGGTTCACCTTCCTCCTGGTTTAGTCTTTGCAGGGTGTATGTGTCCAGGAATTTATCCATTTCTCCTAGATTTTCTAGTTTATTTACATAGAGGTGTTTATAGTATTCTCTGATGGTAGTTCTTATTTCTGTGGGATCAGTGGTGATATCCCCTTTAACATTTTTATTGTGTCTTTTTGATTCTTCTCTCTTTTCCTCTTTTGCAGGTTTTTAATCGCATCATCTTCTTGAGTTGTAAATTTCTAAGGAAAGTTTTCCTGCACAATATAGATATTATTGTGTGTTTGCTAATATTTTCTGCAATTCTAGTTGTTTGCCTTTTCAAATTTCCTTGCAGTGTCTTTCAAGAGCTGAAGTTTTAATTTTGATGAAGTCCACATTATCTTTTTTCTTTAGTAGTTCATTCATTTCTTAGCATTTCTTGCTAAGGAATGTTTGCCTAACCAATATCACAAAATTTTTTGTGTGTATTTTTTTTAGGGAATTTTATTGTTTTAATTCTTATATGGTGGTCTCATTCGTTTTGAGTTTATTTTTATATATGATACCAGGTAAGAAGGGAGGTCGTAATTTTCCATACAAATGTCCAATTATTCTAGCACCATTTATTGAAAGACTATTCTTTTCCCTATTGAATCACTCTGAAACTTCTAGGTCTATTTTTAGAGTCATTATTCTGTTACATTGATCTACATACCTCTCCTACTGCCAATATTTCCTCATATATTTATCTTTTACTTAATTCCTATACTGTTTTTAATTCTCTTAAAGTATGCGGGTTTTTTTTTTGTTTTTTTGTTTTTTTGTTTTTTTGTTTTTGAGATTGGTGTCACTTCATTGCCCAGGCTGGTGTGCAACGGCGTGATCACAGCTCACTGCAATCTCAACCTCCCAGGCTCCTGTTATCCTCCCACCTCAGCTTCCCAAGTAGCTGGGACTACAGGCATGTGTTACCATGCCTGGCTAATTTTTTGTATATTTTATAGAGACAGCGTTTTTTCATGTTGCCCAGGCTGGTCTCAAACTCCTGTGTTCAAGTGATCTGCCCACCTTGGCCTCCCAAAATTAAGACAATATGGTTTTGTGCAGAAAAGAGATAATATAGCAGGCCTGAAATGGCTATCCTTAGAAAAACCTGCTTGCAAGCTTCGCCCTTGACTGGCATCTGGAAACTTGGATTTCAGAAACACTGCCACCATTCCTAGCTGAGAAGAGTGGCTCACTGCGCCCAAACTGTGTGAGCAGTGTAGTTAATACTGAACACCTGATTTCCTTCTGGGAATCAGGGATTTTGGAATGTGCTAGGCAGGGGGTGCCTACCAGACTTACCTCACATGAAAACCCTGGGCACTGTGTCCTGAATGATTTTCCCTGGTAGGCATATCAGGGACATTGTCCCAATTTATCACTGGAGAAATTAAGCACATCCTGGGTGACTGCACTGGAGAGGACTCATGGAAGCTTGTGTGTGATTGCCTCTTGACTTTGTTCCACCCACCTTTTGCTTTAGTAAATTTTACTTTGTGTCCTTTCACTGTAATAAATCGTAGCAGTGAATATGACTGTATACTGCATCCTGTGAGTTCTCTTAGCAAATCACCAAAACTGGGAGTGGTTTGGGGAACCTCCAACACAGTGTTTACCTTATCTCCCTGTCTAAATTGTGAACATTTTCTAGGATAGCAACCATGGTGTAATTGTCTTTAAATCTACTCGTACTGCCTTGTACATGGCAGATATCTAATTGAGGTTTGTAGTTTGAGAGAAAAGACCTAGAGAGATACAAACAAGAGAGTTTCATCAGCCCCTTATGTAGACAGAAAACTTAATTCTAGTGAAGCATGTCTGTGACCCACAGAGGAAACTATTAAACCATTACTGCTTTACAATGATCCAGAAAAAATGTTTGTATTTTCTTTATATACAGAGTACATTTTCCCAGCAGTTGAAGGCTAAAAGCAGCAGTAAGTCAAGCTTCTGCCTCACCCCACCATGGTCTCTCAAAAGTAGTTACCAGTCATGGGGGCATCAATTCGTAAAAGTCCCTGTCCAAGGATTCCTTCCTGAAGGTTTGGAAATGTGCCCATCATGCAGGTAGCTAATACATTTTGAAAATAAATGGGACTGCTCTCTCCCTAAGCTCATTTCAAGTTTCTTCCACTTCAGCTGATTAATGCATGGGCTCACCCACAGTAACTCCACCCTAAGAGATAGGGTTTCTAACAGTTGGTGCAAAGACCAGGATAGGCATTTTGCCCAGTTTGCAAAACTGTAACAATCCTGGCTAACACAGTTTTAAAATGGTGATGTCCTGGTAAGACAAAGCCAGTTCACTTAGAGAAGACACTTCATTTTTATCTTATCTTTAGCTAGTTTAACAAAATTTCTGACAATGATGCACAAATGAGGGAAAGACAAAAGAAAAACATCCTGTTTATTGCAAAGCTAATGGAAACATGTACCAATTAGGAGATAAACAATTCACTCTATTGGAACTTATCAGATATTATTAATCATTTTTTAAGAATTATATATATGTCAGGAAAATATAAAACATTATCTCCTCCCTTTCCTCTTTCCTTTCTCTATCTCTATTGGCTTTTACAGAAAATTCAGTTCATCTATACCCATTAAAATAGCCCTGTGTTGTGATCTAGAAACCTGCGTGTTTCTCATAAATCATTATAAACTCTGTCTTCCGAACAAAGAAGCTGTATTTGCTACAAATAAACAAATCCCAGAAGATTAGAATCAGTGTATAATTCAGAAAAGCTGAACAAGGTTACATTACATTTTAAGCAAAGGAGGAGAAATTTTTTCAAACTTACACATTTCACAGACCTAGCAAATTTAAAAAATTCTTGTTTTGACTTGAAGCTTTGCAGTTATCATTGTATCTATAATGTAAAAAAAGTATTTTAAAACTTACAGAATTTACAAAATAAATTTTTTTTCTAATGACATCTCAATTCAATGAGTATGAAAAAGCTTATTTGAGTATATATTAATTTTAAAATGGCAATTTTAAAATTGACTCAAAAACAAATTTTTAAGCTAAATGCAAGCAAACTTTGCATTCCAAATCTGCTGCACCAACTGGCATACAGCTTAGTTAAAAAAATAGTTTTATGTTTGAATAGTAGTTGTACTCTGGGTTTTCCTGGAAGCGCTGTTTATTATCTCCCTTATATTCCAAATAACTACAGATGTTATTCACATTTAAATTAGCAAATATTTGCTATCCTGTAGGATTTCCTAAATTGCTTGATTTTTTTAAAGAAATCTGCTCATTAGGAAAGCATGGCTGCATTAAAAATAATTGAAATTAAGCTAATTCTTTAATTATTTGTATCTAAAAATTAATGTAAGTTCTTATAGAGAATTGACTCTAAGCTACAGACATTTCTAAATAAATGTTGGCCAAGATTGGTTGCACACAAAATTTATTTTCTCATGAGGCATGAGGAATTTCCTTTCAGTACATACATAGCAATCAATGTCCTAGAAATGAATACAATTGAAACTACATTTTAAAAAGCCATGTTACTTTCAGCCTTCCCTTTATTAAATTCTTTCATCACACAGTTAAGGCAAAACTTTGAAAAATTCAATCATTATAATACTGTGTGCACCAAGTAGTTTTCCTGAAATCTACTGAATTTATTGCATTAGTGTCAGCTTTCTCATCTCTGCAAACTATTCAGCTGTAATTCCAGTGTACAGAGGACTTCTGAGTTGTAAAATGCTAAGAATCTTTCTTATTTTGTTAAAATAAATAAGATGATAATCACCTTGTCTAAGCACTTAAAATTTTCAATATGCAGTTTCTGAACCCATGTTTAAAGTGCTCTAATTTCACATTTGTGAGCTGTATAAATGAGAAACAGAAGGTCTCCGCAGAATTTCTCAGCATCCAGGGTCTCTGAGCTCAGGACTCCAGCCAAATTAGGTCAAACGCCACTAGACTCTAGCAAGGCTATGTACTAATGGCCCCGCAGAGAGGATTAAAATTCCAGCAGGAAATAAGTTGTATTTATTTTGGTTTTAAAGATTTTCCCTCCTCTGTTTCACGTGAATTCACATTTCTTGTGAATAAGCCGCATTACCCAGGAGCCCATTGCAGACAAAGAAATTATTATCTTGTGGTGAATTGTTCTCTACCTTAGCAAGTGCAGAGAAAAAAAATTGACTGAAGAGAAGGATAATGGTGCTGTTAATAAAGATGAACCCAAACAGCGTTTCTGCGTAATTGAGTGGCAGCTTCTTCATTGGGAAATTCAGAATTTATCTCAAAGTTTTTTTTTTTTGTTTTTTTTTTTCCTAGACTGGAGCATGCATGCTAGGGTATAAGATACTCAAGAGATTCTGTTGACTAGTGGCAATCATTGGTGCCACTGTGGTTTTTAACCAAGTTAGTAATACGAACTTTTATTAACTAGCATTGGGTTATAAGTTAATGCATTTTTTGCTTTATCAAAATAGAAGTAGTTTATTTTTTCTGATTATTAAAGCAACCTATGCATCCTGTAAAAAATGTAATTTAAACAAAAAAACAAAAACATTGTCTATAAGCCCATTACCAAAAAATAAGCATTATAACAGAAGCTCTACATTTTTTCATTTTTCTGTGCATGGGCACACATTTTAGAAAAAAATAGGACAATATTATACATATGACTTTGTAATATTTTTTTCATTTATTGCGGGAAGGCCTTCTATATATCTATATATCTATACCTATCATGGTTGTTAAATTTTTACAAACATACCATAATTTGTCCAATATCCCAATAATGTGCATTTAGGTTATTTCCAATTTTTATTTAATAATTAAACAATGCTACAATGAACATCCTTGTATAATTAGCTTTATATGTTAGTCCTATTGTTTCTTCTTTCTTTCTTTTTCTTTCTTTCTTTCTTTCTTTCTTTCTTTCTTTCTTTCTTTATTTATTTATTTATTTTGAGATGGAGTCTCCCTCTGTTGCCCAGGCTGGAGTGCAGTGGCACAATTTCAACTCACTGCAACCTCCGCCTCCCGATTTCAAGCAATTCTCCTGCCTCAGCCTCCCTAATAGCTGGGATTACAGGCGCATGCCACCATGCCCAGCTAATTTATGTTTTTTTTTTTTTTAATTGGAGACCAGTTTTCACCATGTTGGCCAGGCTGGTCTCGAGCTCCTGACCTCAGGTGATCTACCTGCCTCGGCTTCCGAAAGTGCTGGGATTACAGGCATGATCCACAGTGCCCAGCCGCTATTGTTTCTTTAGAAGAATTCTTAGAGGTGAAATTTTCAGGTCAAATTGTATGCAGATTTTCAAGACTTTTGATAAATATTATTAAATCATCTTTCAGTAAAGTTGCAACAATTTTTATTCCTGCTGGCAGTTTGTGAGTGCTTATTTTTCCATTTCCTCTCCCTAGATGGGTATGTCATTAGTTTTTGCTCATTTATTAAATCAATGCCAATTTATAAGAAAAATTAAAATGTCATTTTTGCTTTAATTTGCATTTCTTTTATTATTATTGAGAGTGGCTATCAGTTTATATGTTATATCTTCTCTTGTGGATTATTCATGTCTTTTGCTTATTTTTCCCTTTGAGTTCTTTATTCTTTTATTAATTTGCAAGAGCATTATTTATTGAAGACAGTTATTTGTATGTCATCTATGTCACAACAATTGTTCCTAGTATATCCTTCATTTTTGACCTTGACTTCTTTTAAATGCTACTTTGTAAGCTGCTTCTAAGTCATTTCTGAATGAGGGGATGGGTTGGTAGATAGGCACAAGGATGCAGAATTTTTAAATTGCAGAAGAGTAATTTGAATCCAGGTCTCTTTGCAACATCCACATTTTTATACTCTATTCTCCCCAAATTTTGATTGTCTCGAATTTGGCCTACGGAATATGGAAACGGTATTTGAAAATGTGGTCCTCTTACTCTCTAAGGACTATATATTATTCTCCATCATACTTTTCTAGAGTTCTGGATTATAATAAATAATGTAATATCTCTGCACATTCCATAAGATCAAAACAAGATGAGCTGAAGCTGAGCTACTTGCATCATCATGCCACGGCAGTCTCCTTTCTGTGCGTAGCAGCCCTGAGTCCTGTGATAACAGCTGTGGGAAGATGCAGTTTTCAACTTCAGGGATCTCTTCATTCATTTAACATTTTTGTGGATCCACAAACATTTAACATATTTGTGGATCTACCTACCTGCCCAGTCTTAGTTTTCACAGAGACAGAATGTAATCCTTGGAACTCAGCAATTGCTCCTGTTCTCATCCATTCCACGAATATTTCCATAAAACTTCTGTGTGGTGACTGTAACTAACAATTACTATATGTCTGATGTTCTTATATGTACTTTGTATTTATCATTCACCTAATCCTCACTCTAAGCAGTAGGTGCTCTTATGATTCTCTTTTACAGATGAGGCACAGAGGTCAAGTAACTTGCTCAAGCTTGCAGTTTATAAGTAGAGAAGATGAAAGGGACACAGGCTGTCTGGTTCCAGAGCCTGTTCTGTTTACCACTTGCCTGGGCTGCCTCCCAGCATGCTGGACTTTCCCGACAGGGAGTGCAGGATGTCAGGTTGAATGCATAGATATACAGGGCCTCACCACATGGTGGAGGATGGGACACACAAATGCTAAGCAAATGCCAAGCAAATGCCCATACTGACCGCAGAGAAATAATCCACGCGGCCTGGATTTTGGAAGCCACAGCTTTCAGAAAATATTTCCTAGAGAAGAGATGCCAACGGAAATGAATGGAGAAATGTGGGCTTTATAATCAAACAGTTTGTTAATGCTGAAAATGCAATACCTGAAAATAACACTTAAAAGTGTGACTTGGCCAGGCGCAGTGGCTCACGCCTGTAATCCCAACACTTTGGGAGGCTGAGGCGGGTGGATCACGAGGTCAAGAGATCAAGACCATCCTGGCCAACATGGTGAAACCCTGTCTCTACTAAAAATATAAAAATTAACTGCGTGTGGTGGCGCGCGCCTGTAGTCCCGGCTACTCGGGAGGCTGAGGCAGGAGAATCGCTTGAACCCAGGAGGCAGAGGTTGCCGTGAGCCGAGATTGTGCCACTGCACTCCAGCTTGGAGACAGAGGGAGACTGTCTCAAAAAAAAAAAAAAAATTAAAAAAAAAGTGTGACTTGTCTATCCAAGTCTTCAGCCTCCTGGGTTTATGATTTGCTTGAATGTCCAAAAGAAACTGGTTCAAGACCATATCCCACGCGCTATGGGAAAGCCAGTGTGTCAATACATTTTCAGAATTTCTGAGGAGCTTGTATACTCCTGACTCATTCCAAATTTCTCTTCCTGGCTTATCTTCTATAACTGCTGTCCTTATTTCACTGTTTCCTCTGACTTTCCATTGATTTCTCTTAAAGAACCCCTACACAAATCTAGTGTACATAATAATCTTTTACAGAGGGTTTAGTATAACTGAGGAGTAAGAAAGGACACTTAAATTTTAGACATCACAGTGCTAATATTCCACAGCCACCACAGCCTGAAATTTCTCACTGGTCATCTGTCTCCTTGGGTTCCAACTTCTGTTGTAGTGAGGGCTTTCTAGTCTTTTCCTAGACCCTTTTTCATGTCTATTAGCCATAAAATGTGCTCATAAGCAGCCCCTTCTTGCAATCAAAGTCCCACTCTCTCAGTATAGACAGCCTCAGCCACGTGTCAAGAACAACTATCTCAATTGTTTCACAGTAAAGAACAACTGCTAATATTGTTATTAGTCCAATAAGTATTTTCCTTTAAAAAATTAAATACTTTCAAACAATGATCAAATTTTAAATTGGAGCACAAATTTTAAAGTTTTCACAAGTGCTGAAGGAGATATTTTTCACAAAGGGGAGAAGAAGAGAGAAGAATAGAGAAAAGGAGGTTTGAATGGGTGCGATTTGTCCTTGGAATAAAGTTGGAAAGTGTGTCCTAAAGCATCCAGTTTCATATTTATTTTTGCTTGTTTTTTTTTTTTTTTTTTTTTTTTTTTTTTTTTGAGACGGAGTCTCGCTCTGTCGCCCAGGCTGGAGTGCAGTGGCGCGATCTCGGCTCACTGCAAGCTCCGCCTCCCGGGTTCACGCCATTCTCCTGCCTCAGCCTCCCGAGTAGCTGGGACTACAGGCGCCCGCTACCACGCCCGGCTAATTTTTTTGTATTTTTAGTAGAGACGGGGTTTCACCGTGTTAGCCAGGATGGTCTCGATCTCCTGACCTCGTGATCCGCCCGCCTCGGCCTCCCAAAGTGCTGGGATTACAGGCGTGAGCCACCGCGCCCGGCCTGCTTGTTTGTTTTATATTGGTTCTCTTAGCGAAATTCTTTAGATAGTAGAGATGGATGTTTCAGAACGTGTTTCTTGCTTAGGTGTTTTAGAAGCATGTCTATTGCCTAAATTAAAGTATACCTAGCAACTGCAAAAGCTAGAATATTTTTACATAATTATTTCAGTTTTCCCTGTACTTTCCTATATTTATGGTACACAATATATCAGAATACAGTGTAAGCATGATGAGATAAAATTTTTTTAAAAAGGGTCCTGGATTATTAATCAGGAATCTGACTTTTGCTCTGTATGTGCCCCTAATTCAGAGGCTACAAAGTAAGGGAGATAGCACTACATGGTGGCTTAAAATTCCTTTTGGCCTGGAGAGTCACCTAAGACTTGATCAGTCTCTTAACAGCCCAAACCACGGCCAAAGTGAGCTGACTGATCCCCCACTTTAAAATGGACTTACTCACTCCCGTCCTGGGAATGGTGCTGGCTGAGCTCCACCCCTGGCATAGGCCTTGGCCAAAGGGAAATGCATCATAATTCTAACAACTGGCCAGTGCAGGGGTGGAAAGCTTGGCCTCATGCCTCGCTTCAGGACTACCCTAAAGCCCAAAACCAGATCCTGGGGATCAGCTGAGACCTTTGTTGCAACCGTACTTTAATTTCACTTCTGTCAAATTCTGCTTCCTTCTCTTCCTCATGAGCATCATGGCTGAGAGTGTGCCAATAAACCTCCTGAAAGAATGAGTGTGATTCTCCTCTTGGAGTCTGTTTGCCAGGGAACTACGAGGAAGGCTGGTGCCGGGAGTGGTTCAAGGAAGCAAACCCTAAAATTAGATTTTTAAGGTGAGTCCAGTGCTGACTTGGCAAGGAGGACCCCATCACTGTGACATTTGAAGTACTACTGATAGTCAGTCCACAGCATACTCTAGCAGTACAATTGCTACAACTTTCACTGGTGTTGGGATGGGACACCTTTGAAAGAGAATGCGCTGGTGGGTGCAGTATCGCAGATGTGAAGAGATTTGAGGAAAGTAATAATTATGAAGACAAATTTGTCCTTTAATTACTAAACAATCTGAACACTTTTGTGGAATGCCATCTATACATCAGAAAGACGCAAATAAAAGTTGTTTATGATTAATCAGCAATTTAAAGCAAAGTGTGAAAATCAAAGGGCCTTTTGGCAACATATAAAGACTCTGATCTCCAGAAGGGCATAACAAGCTGAGCCTTTGGTTCATGGCTCAGTTAAGTATCGTGGAGCACTGGGAAGGTTGAATTCTCATTTCCAGCCAGTCTGCTGGCCAAAGTAGGGGCAATGGTTAGGAAGAGCTAGGGCCCTGAGACTGCAATAGGAATGTCTGATTCATGCACTTAAGAGCCTTGAAATCCCAGAGTCTCCTCACCCTTTTGGACATATAGAAGTGGTTTTACTTTTCCCTTTCAAAGCTGAGCACTTCCCCTGTGGCTGAAAACAATACAGAGGCCTCTGCCTTGCAAGACAACACAGCCCTCCTTCTCCTCCCCAACTGGGATCTACCCACCTCTTTTCTCCCTGCTGCCAGACCAGTAACTTGGATCATGTCACAATTTAGCCAAGCTAGAGAAATGTCGGACACACTAAGGGAGAAAAGGGATGATATGTTGAAGGAGCTGCAGGACCTAGCCAATGTGTACTAGTAGGAACTAAAAGTATCTATGGAACTGGATCCTGAAGGTGTTGAGTCAATGTGGGGGAAAGGTGCAGAACATTAAGTTGAATGAAGGAGATTTTATCATTGGAGAACAGTTTTCTCTACTACAGGTTTTAACACCCTAGCAAGGACCTCAGAAAATTAGAATAACATGCTGCTGGAATATAGCTCCTAGAAGTTTGGAGGAAGGGATGGCTCACACTAAGTAAAGTAGAAATTTCAGAATAGCTGTTGTAGATGGTAGAACAAGCAATCAAATTACTCGGAGAAATGGGCATGGTAAGCAGATAGTCTATGAAAGACATGAAAAACCAATCAGCTGGATACATTCCATCAGAGGACCTGGAGGACGTACTACTTACCAAAGGGATGAGCAATGTTTTTGTAAGCAGAATACCAGCATCATGGAGAGGTTTACTGGTGTCTGGTAGTAGGATATTCTGTTACAAAACTGGGCTTCAAATAGCAGTATGGATTATAGCAGGAGTTTACAAACTTTGCTGCACCTGGGCATCATTAAAAATGATTGATGCCTGGTTTCCATCCAAATATTGTGGTTTAATTGGGACAGGTTGCAAAGTGGGCATCAGGATTTTTTTTTAATTTACCAAGTGATTCTAATATTGGCAGAGTTTGGGAACTATTGGATTATAGTATATTAACTAACAGAGGCTAAGTGCCAGTGCTTAGGCATCAGACAAAATGAGTGCAATTATAATAAAGATATTAGAGTAGCATTCAAGGGGGGCTGAACTAAAGACAGCTATGGATATATTTGGTACAAAGCATTCCTAGGGGCAAGATGCATGGACACATGGACAATCAACAAAGGTACTAATGGAAAACTTAAAAGAAATCAAGTGTATTAAAGAAGAAATTGAGAGCAGCCAGCCCAATAAAAAGTCATAATTCCTACTTCAGTCTCTGAACCCGAACCAGTGTTCAGACCCAGAACACATTGACTGAAAGAGCAGCAGAGTCCTTCAGTAGAAGGACCCTGAATCATCATGACATCCCTAGTCTTTCCTCAAGAGAATGGCTCTTTATTTGGATAAGCAATCACTGGGACCTATGGCTATTTATTTGGATAACCATTCACTGGGGGATAGCAATACTCAGACATTTCAAGGACTGTTGGACTGAGGTTCGAGATCATGTTAATTGTACTGGATGGGCAAGAAGCAACAAGTAAAGACTTTCATATGACATGTACGACGCAGAGAATAGAAAATAGACTCTCCAAAGACTCAGAGTCTCAATAATCAGTTAAGATTTTGAAGGTCAAGCAGTCTGGGTCATGCCAGGAAATCCACTCCAAATTAAGGACAAAGTATTTCATCCCATGCCTCCCACTATGAAGAAGAAAACACAATATCTGGTAGGCCGCTTTGAGTTTTGAAGGCAACATATTCTATGCTTAAGAATCCTCCACCCACCCACTAAGCTGCATGAAAGACTGCAAGCTTTATGTGGAATACAGAGCAGGAAGGGGAGCTGGAGCAGATCTCTGCATGACAATAGGCTTTAATCCCCAGATTAAAAGAAACAATGTGGGGATAATGGCAAATGGCAAGTATGTTCAATCTAATGATATACTTAGTGATTTATCTGGGATTGGCATACGCATGGCCAGAGGAGGCAAGTAAGCCAGTAAGCTGTTAGCAGGTACCCAGACTCCCAGGACATCTGCCTCCAAATCATCTACTTCAGTTCATAGCTGTGACTGAATGGAGGATCCCTTATGACAAACCAATAGAAGAAGAAAAAATGCTAAGCTTGGTTAATAAATGTGTTGGTTCAGCACATTGGGTGCAAAGTGAGAAAGAACTGTTCAGGAGTGGCCCTGACTAGCAATAGTGAGAGGAAGTCTTCCCTTTGACCTAGCTCTGGGTGAGGCATCTGATCACTTAGTTTGGAAAGACAAGTAACCTGTGAATGGATTGGGGCATATATGGGCAGTATTCTGAATGGCCTGGGAATACCAGTTGTGGCCGTAAGAACATTGACTGTTAGACGCACTCTATTTTGCCCCCTGAACTTCTTTTTCTACTATGGGATCAGATGGAGTGAGATTATCAAAGCAAGAGGATCCCAGCAGCACAGGAGGGACTGTGGTGGATGTCAAGGGGCCCTATCCAGATTTCCTCTCTAAAGAGCTTCTTTCTTAGTCTGCTTGGGTTGCCATAACAAAATACCACAAACTAGGTGGCTTAAACAAAAGAATTTTCTCACAGTTCTGGAAGGGTCTAAGATCAAGGTGCCAGCAGAGATGATTTCTCCTGAGACCTCTTTCCTGGGCTGGTGGATAATCTCCCTCTTGCTGCTCATCACATGGTTGTGCTTTTGTGCATGCACATCCCTGGTATTTCTGTGTGTCCCAATTTCTTCTTATAAGGACTCTAGTCAGATTGAAGTAGGGCCCACCCTAATAGCTTTGTTTTACCTCAATCAACTCTTAAAGACCCTATCTTCAAATATAGTCCCATTCGTAGGTACTAAGGGCTGGGACTTCAACATATAAATTTGGGGAATGCAATTCAGCCTGTAACATCTTCTAAGGTCCTATAAAGAAAGAGATTGAAAGATCAGGGACAAGGAGGTCTGGGGTCTGGGAAACAGTCATGTGGATGGACCTTTGCAAATGAGCACCAATTGTAAAGAGTTTTATTTTGCATTCATATACCCAGGAAAGAGCTTTAGAAGGGTTATCAAACAATCATCTAGAAACATTGTTTTAGCCAGTTGATTTTTGCCAACCTGTGTCATTGCTGCTCTAGGGTTGGCACATGGATGAAAGATTGCAGTAACCGTGGTAAGGGATGGAAGCCGTATATAGCAAAATAGCATAGACTCTTTTGGCTTAGCTACTGCTGCCACTGAATGCTCAACCTGCTAACAACAGAGATCTATGCAGAGTTCCTGATATGGCTACATTTTTCAAGGAGAGCAACCAGCCACTTGGTGACAAGTTGATTACATTGAGAACCTTTTACTCTGAAAAGATTAGCCACTTATCTGGATTCAACACATATTCTAGGTATCCATTTGCATTTCCCGTCATTCAGTACCACTCTCTGAGGATTTACAGTGTTAACTTCACTAACATGAAATCTTGCCTAACAACACATGTAACCAAGGAATCTACTACACAGCAAAGAGGTATGCATATGCCCACAGGATCTAAAATTTTCATCACATACAGCACCATCTAGAAGCCATAGGCCTGGCAGAGCAAAAGAATGGCTTTTTGAAGGCACAACTGAGCTATCACCTTGGAGAAGAAACTGTGACAACTGGCTGCCTTTCTACAGGACCCTGGCCATTGTAGGGTGCATGTCCCCCATAGGTAGGAAACATAAGCCTTGAAAGAAGTGGTGAAAGTGAGTGTAGCCTCACTTATCATTACTTCCAGTGACCATTTGGGAAATGTGTCCTCTCTGTACTCGCTGCTCTGGGCTCTATGTGTTTTCAGGGGAAAGCTTCTGCAGGGCACACAGAAAGAGTCTCATTAAACTTCCAGCCATAGCTGTCTCCTAATCACAGAGGGCTCCTGGTGCCAAAAGACCAGCAGGCAAGAAAGGGAGTTACCTCCAGTGATAACAAACCTTGATCATCAGAAGGAGATAGCACTGTTGTTCATGAGGAAACAGAACTATTTTTGTTATCACAGTTTCCTTTAGTAGATACTATCTATGGTCATTTATTGCTGCTTCTCTGCCCTACTTTGTAATTAAATGGAATATATATATATATAGATAGATAGATAGATATAGCAATAGCTATAGCCTGAGAGGGGCCTGGGGATCAAGGACACAGGCCCTTCATAGATGACACTCTGGGACACTCCACCAGATAAGCCACCTGGGCAGAGGAGGTGCTGCCTAAGAAGTGGCAAATAAATCTAAAATGAGCAGTAATGTTGAGTACCAGTTGTGGCCGTAAGAACATTGACTGTTAGACGCACTCTATTTTGCCCCCTGAACTTCTTTTTCTACTGTGGGATCAGATGGAGTGAGATTATCAAAGCAAGAGGATCCCAGCAGCACAGGAGGGACTGTGGTGGATGTCAAGGGGCCCTATCCAGATTTCCTCTCAAAAGTCTGGGGAGCTCATTTTCCTGACAGGTGGGGGTGCTGCCCTCTGAGGGCTCACAGCTTGAATCTCTCCCCAAAACTGAAAGAAAGCTTCCTTGCTCAAGCTTATGCCCCTCATTGGGGGCAGCTTGCATCATTTCAGCATCACTTTGAAGGGCTATCTCATTCCAACGCTCCTTGAGGGTTCAGCTTGAAGCCTTTATGCAACTGCGTCACAGTTCAACTGCCCAGTGCAACTGCCGCTGCCTCCTCCCAGGTGCTGCTGCTGAGCACAGCCTTCTGTCAACTTTCTGCATGCCTGTTGCCATCAGAGACCCTGCTTTCTGAGGAACCTAAGAAAGGCATACACTCACTTGCAGGGGAGTGGTTAAGATAACAACATGGAAAACAAAACAAAACAAAAATCCATGGATCAAATTGAGTTTAAGAAGAAGGAGGAGAGGCCTCCAAACCTTATTTCAGTCATGGCTTCTATATAAAATATCATCCAAATTAGGAAGCTTCTTTCCTACTGTCACATTTTTTCAAGGTTTTCTTGGGTCTTGGGGCTTGAGTTACCCCAGGAGTTAAATTTAGACCCAGCCTTCCATGGGTTTGAGTGTGCTAACATCCTTTCTTACTCTGAGAAACAGGGGAAGTGTGTGTGTGTGTGTGTGTGTATACATGTATATATGAATGTGTGTGTATATATATATATATGCAGTATATTCTTTTGAGTTTTAAGTTCAGGGGTACATGTGCAGTTTTGTTACGTAAGTAAACTTGTGTCGTGGGGGTTTGTTGTACAGATTATTTTGTCACCCAGGTGTTAAGTCTAGTACTCATTCGTCATTTTTCCTGATCTTCTGCCTCCTCCCACCCTCCAACCTCCCATAGGCCCCAGTGTGTGTTTTTCCCCTCTGTGTGTCCATGTGTTCTCATCATTTAGGCCCCACTTACTTATAAGTGAGAACATGTGGCATTTGGTTTTCTGTTCCTGTGTTAGTTGGCTAAGGATAATGGCCTCCAGCTCCATCCATGTTCCTGCAACGGATATGATCTCGTTTATTACATATTTTTTAAATTTAATCTCACCTATGATCATAAGCCCACCCAGTCATACTTGGTAACAAATCACCATTATATTTATTGGAGTTGAGTATCAGTTGAATTCTGTATATAAAGGATTGTTTCATGAAAAAAGTTCAAAGACAGAATTAAATCACACAGGTTAAAACATCTCCATTGTGTATTCCAGTGGATTTCTCTACCACATCTCATTAATATCCCTGTATTCGCTGTGCCTATGGAGAGTCTCTAAACTTCTATTTGCCCAAGAGTAATTCTGAAAGGTTGAGTGTGAAGTAAATATTCCTTTTTGAGGTAGTGAGAGGCACAGTTCAAAGAGGACGGAGACTGAAAAGAGGATTGTTAGGTTGAGGATAGAAAGGTAAGGGGATAAAAGGGAATGGCTTGAAAGACTCTTCCAGGGAGCATGACTTCATTCAACCAAGAGAAAAAGGAGGTTAAATGGTCAAGGTGCAGTGCACAGGTTCCATCTCACCCCACAGTGAGGCCAGGTATTTCTAACATATAATTACTCCTGATTTCTCTTTTCTGAGAGCCACAGCTTGAGGAGGCGTGGAAGTGGAAAAGCCATCAATGGTCTGTAACCAGATCACTTGGGACTTAAATAACTACAAGCTGTTTAGATAACTGCTCCTCAGCCCTGCCAATCCAAGTGTTCTTAGGTGCCCTGAATTCAGCTGCATGTACTGTCCTATGAAATGACCTTTTCCAAGCCTAAAAATCAAGGGTCAAACAGTTCTCAGGGTGTTACCATCCACTCCACCTGCTCCATGTTTCTTCCCCCACTGCCCTCACCGGAAAGGCATAAGGAGGAAGGAGACTGGATCCCTATTCCCTCTAGAGCCTCCATACCACCCCTTGGTGCAGAATGGGAAATGGGGAAGTGTTTGGTTGGTGCTTGTGAGCCATTACACAAAATCTGCACCACTGGGATGTTTCACAAAGTGTTTCCTAGTTAGGGTAGCCGCAGTAACCACAGAACACGATTGATGAACCACAACCAAGCAGTTTTTCACAAGACAGACAGCTGCAGGCTCTCTACAAGATTCCATCTCGTCACTTTCTGAGCATGAGCTGCTTCAGCCACTGAGTCAGGCGCTAGATATGTAAAGAAAAAGGAAGCACAGCACCTGCATTCAAGGGGTTGGGTCTGGTGGAGGCAAAGAAGTGCTGAGAAAGGAACAGGAGGGACAGAAGTAAATAGTGTTTAGGGACTGAGGCTTTGGTGAGGCAGAGCTAGCTTGAAATCCCTGCTCCACCAATGACTGGCTGTAGAAACTTTTTAAAGGTCTTTAACTGTTTGGGTCCTCAATTTCTTAATCTGTGAAATGGGGGTGATAATCCCAGAGTTTTTTTTAAGGAAATAAAAAGGGCAAGGAAAAAGAGCTTAGCAGCATGCTTGGCATATAGAAAACACCCAATCAATGTCAGCTACTCTTATAATAATTAATTCAGGATGAGAGTAAACAAGTACTGACTGAGACACTGGCAAAACATTCTAGTCCAATGTGCTGAATTGCACAATGCCAGTCATCTGAGTTAAAACCATGGAATCTTGTCATTACTCAAACTCATTCTCTGTATTTTGATGTCTCATATTTATATGTTATTACCCTCATCACTTGTCGAGATCCCAGCAAGTGCAAACAAGCAGAAGATAAGTAAAGCTCTCCCCTCCCCTTGCCCTACACCACTGTGGACAGCAATACATTGCAGTGCTTGCAGGTGGGTTCCCAAGAACCCATGGGAGACTGGAAAGGTGAAGACCCAACACAGGAGGGGACAACAGGGGCCTCACCTTGGCCTACTTTATTTATTCTAATCTATAAACTGGATTTGTATTATAAGGAAAATAAACAAATATGTTACCTTCTAAAATGAGAACATATTTTAATAGTGACCTTCCTTGTATATGCTGTTTTAAAGTAAAAACAACTTGTTAATAGTTTGGGTTAATATTTTTGGCCGGGCGTGGTGGCTCACACCTGTAATCCCAGTACTTTGGGAGGCCGAGGCGGGTGGATCACGAGGTCAGGAGATCGAGACCATCTGGGCTAACATGGTGAAACCCCGTCTCTACTAAAAATACAAAAAATTAGCTGGGCGTGGTGGTGGGCGCCTGTAGTCCCAGCAACTCGGAAGGCTGAGGCAGGAGAATGGCATGAACCCGGGAGGTGGAGCTTGCAGTGAGCCGAGATTGCGCCACTGCACTCCAGCCTGGGCAGCAGAGTGAGACTCCATCTCAGAAAAAAAAAAAAAAAAAAATTGTAGGAGACCTTCCAACACTCTTAAAATCACACTGAATAGCTGTTGCCTCTTTTACCCATGCCTGGTACTTGTTCACAACCGCAAATACTTCCAAATTACCACATATGAAGACAATATCAAGTACATTACTTTTTTGAAAAATTTGAAGACTTGCAGAGATAATATTATAAGGTATTGCAGGAAATGCAGTTCTGATATCTCAGAGGTTAACCAGTGAGTATGTTTTAGTAGTTCATAGGCTGTGTGATACTTATCTTGGATATTATCATTTGAAAACAAAATGCATTGTAACAGAAGAAACAGTTCAATCTAGATGATATACTCCATCTGGAATCAAATACTCTACAGGATAATTGTCCCCTGAAAAATTCAGGTGTTTAGGAGTGTTTTATTTAAATTCAACTCTGGCTTTATAATTAAAATTATCATTGTCTGGCCAGGTGCATGGCTCACACCTGTAATCCCAGCACTTTGGGAGGCCAAGGTGGGTGGATCACCTGAGGTCAGGAGTTCGAGACTATCCTGGCTAACATGGTGAAACCCTGTCTGTACTAAAAATACAAAAATTAGTCTAGCATGGTGGCGGGCGCCTGTAGTCCCAGTTACTTGGGAGGCTGGGACAGGAGAATTGTCTGAACCCGGGAGGTGGAGGTTGCAGTGAGCCGAGATGGTGTCACTGCACTCCAGCTTGGGTGACAGAGCAACACTTCGTCTCAAAAATAAAAAAAAAATAAAAAATTATAATTGTCTAAACAAAACCAGTTTTTTTTTTTTTTTGGCTTCAGAGCATTTGTTGGCAAATGATTATTTGGTTTAGCAATTGTTTCAGACAGTTCAAGATGTATGCCTTGAAAAAGAGCCCTGTGTTCAGACCATAACCTTTAAGAGATGAGAGGAATAATCTGAACCTGTAACAGCACCGACTGCTGTGTTCCTGAGTATAAATATTCCTGTCTTCAGCTGGCATTTAGCATTATAAAAGAAGAATGATGTCCTCTATTACAGCTAGGAAAGAATCATCAATTCAGTTTACAGGAAGATTTTCTAGGTCTTTGTGTCAATCATTTCATAAAATTATTGATTAAAAGAAATAGAAAAGGAGTGAAATGGCATAAATAATAGAAAAACATTGAAAACCTGCATACACTCAGTGTTTCTGAGCTTATGATGCAGATCTCAATTCAAATTTAACCTTCAAGCACAAATGTCAGAGAATGTGCCCTCACTTGACTGAACATCCAAGGACAATCAATTTCATTCCATCTACTTAGTACACAATTAGACACCCATTATACAAAATACCAAAATCTAGGATTCAGATACTGATAGATTTATCTTTTTACTTGAATATTAAATTACCTGAATATTAAAAAGAGTACACCTTGTAAATATGCAGCTTGAAGACTTATCACATAGTGAACATACAAAGTAGATTCCATCAGAAACAGTACATTATCAGACCCCAGAAGCCTCTTCTGTGTCTCCTCTAAGTAATTCCTTCTCTCTTCAGAGGTAATAGTGTCTTATTTCTAATGCTATAGATTATTTTTTTCTCTCTGGGAACTTTATATAAATCAAGTCATACAGTGTATGTGATTGTGTGCTTGGCTATTGTTCACCAGTATAGCTATGAAAATCATCCGTTTTTGTACCAGCATAGCTATGAAAATCATCGTTTTTGTACATACATAGTTCATTTATTTTCATTGCTGAAAAAGATTCTACTTTATAAACACACAAAAATCTTTAGTCACTCCTTCATTGGTGGACATTTGAATTGTCTTCAGCTTGGGGATACTACACAAATAATCTTGCTCTGATATTCTTGTACAGGTCGTCAGAGGACACGTGCAAGCATTTCTGTAGAAGATATACCTAAATGGAAAAGTGCGGGTTCGTGGATAAGCACATTCAACATTGTGAGTAGACAATGACAAATGATCTTCTCAAGTAAGTGTACAAATTACACTCTCTCCAGCCGTTCATGGGCGTTCCCATGCTCCATCTCTTCACCAATGCCTGGCAAGGTGAGTTTGTTTCATTTTTTTCATCATTCTGGTGGTCATGTAGTTATAATTCCTGGAGATTTAAATTTGTGTTTCCTTGATGATTAAAGAAGTTGGGGGATTTTTTTCATATATTTGTTGACCTTTTGAATAAGCTTCTAACAATAGTCAAGTTTCTCGCCCATTTTTCTATTGGGTTATCTACCTTCTTACTGATTTGAAGGAATTCTGAAGAACAGTCCTTTTTTAGATTACATATGCTACAAATATTCTCTCCCCCTCTTTGACTTACTTTTTCACCTTCTTAGTGGTATCTTTTGATAAAGACAGGTTCTTAATTTTAATATATTGACAAAATGTCAGTCCTTCCCTTGATGATTATTATATTTGCATTTTTTTATCCCAACAACAGACACATATTATCCTAAGTAACTTTTTAAAGTCTGCATTGTTTTTACCTTTCTCAGTTAGAGTTTAAATAGAACTAATGTTTGAAACATTAGTTTCAAACTAGTGTTACGAAACAATGGTTAAATTTTATTTTTTCATTTGAATACCCAAATGATATTATTGAAAATACTTTCTTTCTTCATTGCTCTGCTGAACTATTTTGTCATAAACCAAGTATTCACGCACGCTTGGGTTAGTTTTCATCCTCTCTATTCTGTTCCTTTGGGTCTTTGTCTATTCTCACACTAATAGTATATTTGTTTAATTATTATATCTTTATCTGCTTATCTATTTTTAAGTCCTGATTTTTTATTCTCTTCTTCAATATTATCTTTGCTGTTCTCGGTTCTTTGTTTTCCATATACATTTTAGAATCCATTTACTCATTTTCATTAAATAATTCTGCTTAGATTTGTAGGGGGTTCATTAATTTCATAGATAGATTTGGGAGAGAATTCTCAAAATTTGACATAACTCTTCATTGATTGAGGTCATCTTTAATTACCTGTAATAATGTCTAAAATATTTATATAAAGACCATGAAACTGTTAGAGTTAATGCAATTATATCTAAGCTATTTTATACGGATTTAACCCTGGCTGTTTAGATCATTTAATTTAGATTTAATCCTAACAAATTATGCAATTATTATAGTATTTTGAAAGTTTTATTTTTGTTTTTGGTGTGTATAAATACAATTGCTTTTTATAGATTAACTTGCATTTGGCACTACATTAACATTATGTATTAATTATACTAATTTATCTATATATTTCTTTGGACTTTCTGCATGGACAATCATGCAGAAAATAATATGTAAACTATTAACCGTAAAATAATATCTACTACCTAATTTAATGGAAACTAAAGTTGCTTATGCCCGAAACCTTGGAGACATTCTTGACTCCTTTCTTTTACTTATATCCCACATTCACGTTATTTTAAAAACCCTACCGGTTCTACCTTGAAAATAGGTCCAGAATTACCCCACTTTTCATCACTTTCACTGAGGCACCATCATCTCTTACTGGAATTGTTACAACAGCCCTCTAACCGGTCTTTCCCCTTCCATGTGTGACTTGTCTTCAACCAACAAATGACAGAGCCTCCACAGTGATCTGCTAAAAAAAAAAAAAAAAAAAAAAATCTCACTTGCAAAAAGTGAGATTGTGTTACTCTTCTGCCCAAAATTTGCCATTCTTTCCATCTCACTCAGTAAAAGCCAAAGTTGTTACAGCAGTCCAGCAGACCCGACTTGATCTGTGTCTTTATTACTTCTCCTACCTCAGCTTCTCTCTCCTCTGCTTATTGCCCAGCCTTCCTGACTTGGCTTCTATTTTTTAGACAAGCAAGAAACCCTCCTGCCACAGGACATTTGCACTTGTTATTTTCCCTGCTGGGAATATTTTCTCATTTTCTCCAAATATTTTCTCAGAGAGGCTTTCCCTGACCCGTTTAAGGTGTAAGCTGTCCTTGGATCATCAGATCTTTCTATCCTCCTATTTTTGCTTAATATTTTTCACAGCAATATAACTCACTAGCATATTTTATAGTTTATTGGTTGTCTCTCTCCACTAGAATGAAATATCCGTAGACTGTGATTTTTGTCTCTTTTTTTCTCTGCTGTATCTTCAGTGTCTTATGTAGTGCTGTGAACATATCTGGTACTCTCTAAATATTTATGTAATGAATTAATAAGACATGTACTTTTAAAAATGCAAGAGAATTCAAGTATTAGTTCCAGCTGGATTTATCAGGGAAGGCTTCTGAAAGTAGGTGGGATTTGAACTTAGTAATTAATTGAAAAATATTTATTAAGTATTAAATGTATACCAGAGACTATGACAGTCAATGACAATCATGGGGAAAAAAAAAGTCTAGTTTCTAATTTGTAACAAACAAGCTTGCCTTCCTCTCCAACACATGTAGTCACTAAGCCTCTTCCTTTATGTTAAAGAGATTTAGAAGAACAATTTTAGAAAGTCATATGGCTTTCTTCATTTACCAATGGAAGCTTAATGCCATTAACATTGAACTTATTTTGTATTTTTCCTGTATCTTTCTTCACTCTTCAAATTAGACTGTTAAAGAATACACTTTTTAAAACTTTACTGTTGAGTTTTTAAAAGAACTCTAAATATTATGCATTAAGTCAACTGCAAAACATGGCTTCTTAGACTTTTGGCTAAGATCAAGTGAATTCAACTGCAAACAAATAAATTACAGAACAGCAATAAACATCAGATTTCAATGGACTTGTGTGGGACTAGTCTTCTAATTATGGAAAGAAAGGTAAATAATCCTACCTAACATTTGCTATTCTGTACACAAACTTACTCATGGGGCAAAGAGGTTAGGAGTTATAACGATATAATTTTTTTCCTTATTCTTTCTATTTCAATAGAAAAGATGTATAGCATAACAGAATTTGCAATTTAAAAGTCACAATAATATTTAATGGTTGTTCAAACAATGTGGATATTAAGAGTTGATCAGATTAGAGATTCATCTCATGATGTTGGAGAAAGATTTTATAGACCTTAGCAAAACTTGAGTTATCTACTCTTTGTATTATCAACTAACCATTCTTAGATCAATATTTTGACTTTTTCAGTCTTGATAATATCTAAAAAAAAATACGTTAGCATTTTTGCTTCTTTTGAGGTTGTAACTTGTTGAATTCGTTGTACTTTATAATTTACAAAGAAACTTTTCATGCATTAGCTCCGCTAATCTATAAATCACTCTGTGAGTTTGGCATGAGTGTCCTCATTCTATAGAAGGGAAAAATGAGTCTTACAGGAGTTAACTGAGTTTTTGGAGGGCAACAGCAAGAAATGTAAAAGCTGTGAGTTGAAATTAGGCCTGCTGGCAGTAAGACTCCATGGTTCTTTTTATTCTGCCCCATGGTACAGTCAAAATCCATGGAAGGTTTTCAGTTAAATACTATGATGCAAGAAATTATCTCAGGTTCTTGAGACTAGAGTTTTTGCATTGGTAAAATGACATGTTGGTGATTAAAAAAAAACAGTTGTTAAATGTATGAATAAAGGAAGCATTACTATTCTTCACCATACCTTCATGTCTCACTTTTCCTCTTGTAATTTTGTTACCTTTGAGGATTGGTATAATTGCATATTTTTTAAAGTAATGTCAGTTTTTGAATTTTACAAATCTATTATTTTATTATCACATAAAATTAAGGGGTCATGAAACCTTATAAAGTAGCCTAAGCATGTTTAAGATATTTCCTTTATTTATTATTAGCTTGTTTTTCCAATTGAATAGACTGCTAGTTATCATAACAATAAATAAGTGATATCAATTTCTATACAGGGAGTTCTTCTTGGTGAAAATTAATCATTTATCTTTTTTTTTTTTTTTTTTTTTTGAGACAGAGTTTCACTCTTGTCACCTAGGGGCTGGAGTACAAAGGTGTGATCTCAGCTCACTGCAACTTCCGCCTCCTGGGTTCAAGAGAGTCTCTTGCCTCAGCCTCCTGAGTAGCTGGGATTAGAGCCATGCACAACCACGCCCAGCTAATTTTGTATTTTTAGTATAGATGGGGTTTAACCATGTTAGCCAGGTTGGTCTTGAACTTCTGACCTCAGGTTGATCCATCTGCCTTGGCCTCCCAAAGTGCTGGGATTACAGGCGTGAGCCACTGCACCTGACCCATTTATCTTTTGCATAAGTGGAAGCCCAGGAAATTATGTTGGCTGAAATCACTAGGCTTTCATAAAAGCCTACAGAGAACTTAAGGAATTGCTGAAAGGTAACTTGAACCCCATATTTAGGGATGGAGAAGCTTGGGTAACATATTTGTTTCTAGGATAAGGGAATTATGCCACATACAGGGCAAATCATAACCAACATCTACGTGTATACCTTTGACTTAATTTTCTCTCTATATTACATGAAAGTAGAATTTTTTTCAATTCAATTTATCAGGGAAATATCCAAATTTGCCAAATTTTGGAAATTATTGCCACTGGCAACACTATTGTTTTAAGGACACTTTAATTGGTATTTCAAAAGACTAGGTGTATGTATCCTGTGATTAAAATCACTGAATTTCTTCTTTATGTTTGTAGACCACTGCCAAAAACAATAATGATTAAATTTAATAAGCAACATGTCAGACTTGCAGTAATTGTTAGAACAAGTTGAGACCCCAAAAAATATGGCTTGTCATAGAACAGATTATAGCATATTGTACTGCCTTTTATCCATTTAAGAAATCAAAATTATAAAGAGAAGATCAATAGTTCTTTTTATATCATGTGTCTATATATTCCTTTACCCAATATAGATGTGATGAGAATTACTATATCTGTATTACTGTATCTATATACTTTAGAGACAAGGTTAAATTGACGAGTCATAGAAAAAAAATCACAGCTTTCTTAAGGGGCCTTAAAATTCACTTATCTCACTTATCAATCTGATAATAGATACATCTCTCCCACAACCTTTTTTCTTTGTTCTTTTTTTTTTTTTTTTTTTTTGAGACAGGGTCTCACTCTGTCACCCAGGCTGGAGTGCTGTCGTGCAAACACAGCTTACTGTAGCCTTGACCTCCCAAGACTTAAGTGATCCTCTCACCTCAGCCTCCCGAGTAGCTGGGACTACAGATGTGTACGACCATGCCCAGCTAATTTTTGTATTTTTTGTAGAGACAGAGTCTCATCATGTTGCCCAGGCTGGTCTTGAGCTCAAGCCATCCACCCTCCTTGGCCTCCGAAAGTGCTGGGATTACAGGCATGAACCACCATGCCTGGCTCCCACATCCTTCTAATGATTCGGTCAATGTTTTAACACCTCCAGTGATGGAGAATCCACAAGCTTGTGAGTAGAGGCACCTAACTGTCAGGGGTCCACTGAGGATGGAAAGGAAGAGAGTTCCAGAACAAATGACAAGCATGTGGAAAACAGGCAAGACTTCCAAGTGAGAGGCAGCATGGAGAGCAGTTCAAGAATATAAACAATGCAAGTGTGAGTGGAACACAGCATGGGGGAGAGTGGGTTCAGCTGAGCTTGCAGAGGTGAACGAGTCCTGGCTATGCATAGACTTGACATAAAGTCATGACAATAATATTGGCTTTCTTTTCAGAGAAATGTGAAGCCTTAAAGGAAGTGAAATCATGCTGTGGCTTGACCATCTTTGCATTCATTTAAAACTGACCTTTTAAGTCATTCTGGAGGACAGATTAGAGTGAGGTGAGACGATTTAAGGAATCCCATCAGGAACAAATTGTGGAAGTCCAAGAGATAGGATGGTAACTTGCACTGCAGTAATGGTGTGGAGATGGGGAGAAAATGATGGGCTTGAGAGGAAAAAAGGGAATATCGCCCTCCTCCCCGACCACATTCCAGGCATGTGCATCATGGTCCTCCTGAATACAGCCACTGGCTGGTGTGTAATGCCCATGCCAAGTCCAGCATCATTTTTCATGGTTATTAGCTATACACAGGATTTTTTGGTTCAGGTTCACACCCCATGTACCATGCTGTGCTCAGCTGATTTCATAAGAGGTCAGGGAAGAACAGCTTGTGGTGTGTCACAACATGTGCACATTGCCTCCTCCTGGAGCTGGCACATGATAGGCAGTGGGAGGAATGCTGAGTGCCAGCAGGCCACAGGTGCAGAATGAAAGACTCACCCACTCCCTGTGGGCCCTGGGTTTAAAAGCTTTAAACACCTGCCAAATCCGTAGACTTAACCAGCCCAGCCTAGCTCAGCAGCCCTTCCTCCCACCTGCCGGAAGAACTATTACAATCAATAAATAAACAGACTCAATCAATCAAAACTTCCCATGAACAGTCCCATGAAATCCACCATGTCCTTAGAAAGAATGCATTAACCTTTTTAAATTCAGTACCAATAGCTCAACAAAAAGCCCAGTGTGATTGTCCTCTGAATAAATGATAACAAGGAGGGATGGCAGGCATTGTTGCATATTAGAGGAACATCAGAGTCTTTAGGCAAGAGAAGCAAGAGTATGATAACAAATGTTTTGGACATTATGTTTACTACTTGATGTAACTTACTTATTGGTCTAAATTTGACTAGCAAACTGCAACCTGCCAGCTAAATGCAGTCTATCACTTGTTTTTGTTAAGTTTTATTGGAACACAGCCATGCTCATTTGTTTATATGTTGCCTGTGGCTGCTTTCCTTTCATGCTACAACAGCAGGGTTAAGTGAATGCAACAGAGACTGTAAGACCCACAAAGCTTCAAATATTTAATGCCTGTCCCTTAAAAGAAAAAGTGACTGGGTGCTATGCCTCATGCACTTTGGAAGGCTGAGGTGGGAGTGTCACTAGAGCCCAGCAGATTGAGGCTGCAGTGAGCCATGATCATGTCACAGCACTCCAGCCTGGGCAACACAGCAAGACCCTGCTTCAAAAAAAGAAAAAAGGAAAAAATGTACCAACTCTGGTCTATCACTGAACAGAACTTGGTTTAAGAGAGTAGTAGACTTCTTTTAGCAACTTTTACACCGAGTTCTTGATGTTCACGCATATAGTTACTACTCATACAGAAACCTTTGAATCCAAATTCTATTTGACTCTAATAAGGGATGAAAATAAAATTGTTGCGAATAGATAGAAATGAAATTGTTGTTTCTTTTTGAAGTAAAAAATCAGGCCAAATGTTGCTTTTAGAACAGCTATTTTTGTGTGTTTGAACAGCATAAGCTTTCATTTTTAAAAAAAGAGTTATTAAATTAAGCCTCTGAAATAATAATGATCTGAGGAGAAAATTGCTTTTGAAGAACTCAAAAAAAGCTTTTTTAAAACCAACATTTGATAAAGAAAAGCTCTCAAATGTTCAACTCCATCCGACTGCCCTGAGTTCCCCCAAATTCACAACCCTCTAATAGAAAATATGTTAAATAGTAAGAGGCTCATAGTGGAATGTGCTATGTCAAGTGACTTTATATTATAAGATCTGTCTACTTTAACATGAAAAACTCAGCTGCAATCAGCTTGCTGCCTTAGGCACACTGTAAATCCATTCCTACACAACTGTCCTTCTGCAAAAACAGTCATACTGCTTAGGTTCCTTACTCAGAAACTGACACCTCAACTGCTTGGTTCTTTGACCAGTGAACACCTTGAACCAAGTTAAATCAAATAAATGTCTTCAGAGTTGGAGCACAGTAAATTGTGAATTTGATTTGTTTTCTAACATGATCTATCTGAATAGTTTGAGAGAAGAGCTTGAGACTGTAGAATCTAGGGCTGTCAGGTGCCTTAGAGTGTTATGATTTAACAACAGCCACACAGCTAGTATTTAACAGAGCTCATGAAAGAATCCAGAATTCCTATTTTTGACTAAAACATTGGCAGACATTAAAAGGTCTAACAAGACAAAAATTGGGCCTAGCAGGGCACAACTCTCACCCACTTTTGGTAGAAGTGTGAACTGGCACATCACTTTTAACAATCTGGAATTATCTTGTAGGTTAAATATGTGCATAGACCATGACTCAAAGTTTACTCCTAGATATATTCTAAAGAAACTTGCACAGGAATGCTTGGAGTCATAATCTACATTGTAACAGGGGAAAAAATGACACAAATATTTATCAACAGCAACAGGTGGATAAATAGTGATACATTCATGCAATAGAATACTCTTTAGCAGAGACATTGAAAGAACTGTAGTCTGTAAGAATCCCAAAAACAAAATGTCAAATTAAAAAAAGCAAATCCCACAGGAATACACATATGTGATATTAACATTATGTGATATTATGTGTGTTGGCTAATTTTATGTGCCAACTTAGCTAAGCTATGGTAGCCAGTTTTGGGTCATACATCAGACTAGATATTTCTATGAAGGTATGTTTTAGATGTGATTAGTATTTAAATTCATACATTCCAAGCAATGTAGATTGCCCTCCAGAATACAGGTAGACCTCATTCAATCAATTGAGGGTCTTAAGGGAAAAGGCAGATCACCTGAGAAAGGAGGAATCCTGCCTCCAGACTGACTTTGGACTCAACATTAACTCTTCCTTGGGTTTTCAGGCGGTGGCCTGCTCTGCAGTTTTCACATTTCCCAGGCCTCACACTGTGTGCCAATTCCTTAAAATAAATCATATCTATACCTACCTATGCACCTACCTACCTACATGGCTTTATCCGATGCTTAAATGCAATATTGACCACAGTGAGGATTCCCATCTGATAGGCCTTGTAATTAAAAAAGAAAAAAAATAACATGGTTTTTGGGTTAAGACAAAGTGGGATTGAACTTTCATCCCAGCTACCCCCAAAATCTGTATGTTTTGAAATTAATGACTCTGTGGATCTTTTATTTTTCCTTTACAAAATAGAGATTATAACAGAGTTTTGTTTGAGGACTAGATCATATAATGAATGCATGTGGCCAAAATACTAAAAAATATGAATTTACTTTTTCTGTTAGGTGCTCTGAGATCTTATTTAGCAGATGATAAACAAAAGAATAGGCTAAAAGTCCCAAAGGCCTGCTTTAACTTAAAGGCAGTATTCATATGGAACACACCTCTCACTATATCCTTCAAGAATGAGGTACTATTTTTCATCCATCAAATTAACAAAATTGAGAAAGACTGAAAACCTCCAGTGCAGGCAATGCTAAAAGGAAGAGGGCACCCTCATCCTTTGCTGGTGGAAGTGTGGATTCCTACAGACTTCTGGGAAAATAATAGGACTCTATCAACACTCAAAACCAAAAGCAGCATTATGTAAGGATATACATGAAAGGATGTGTGTTATAGTAATATTTGTAGTAGCAAACAACTGAAAATAACCTCAATTTATTTTCAGTTGTCAATTCGTTGTAGAATGTTTTAAGTAAATGAGAGTGCATGTAAGTAGTATGCAATACTCTGATCTACTGATAAGTATGAGTATAATTATACTATATCTATTGGTTGGACTGGATGGTCATGCCATATTTTTTAGTGCTAAAAGCAAATTGCAGAGTAACCTGTTTAGCTGGATATTATTTTTGTTTTTGCACACACGCACACAGAGAAAAAACACATTTGCATATAATTGAATAAACCTGAAATATATAAAAAAAGATACAAATTGTAACATTAGTTAGCTGAAGGTAGAACAAGGGGACTTAAGAATATTAACTTTTCATTTATACATTTTTATTGTTTAAATTTAAAAATCAATCATTCATTATTGTGGTGAAGTAAAACAAATCCGGTTAACAAGATTTCACTGGGTATCTAAGACCTTTAACTGTATAGTTAATCATTAATTACGTACACAGGCTTTGAGTATAATACTTCAATAATTGGCCTTAAATATGTAGTTGGTATCAAGACTCTTAAGTGGGTCTACAACCCTTTGTTCTTCACCTGAGCCCAAAGGTAAATTTTTTGTTTTAAATTTCTCCAAAACTTCTTTTTCTTTTATCTCTCTATCAATAGCACAATAAAGAGCTGACAAGAAAAAGAAAAAATCTGTTTATATTTTTGCCTACTGTTCTTTTTTTATTATTATTATTATACTTGAAGTTTTAGGGTACATGTGCACAATGTGAAGGTTAGTTACATATGTATACATGTGCCATGTTGGTCTGCTGCACCCATTAACTCGTCATTTGACATTAGGTATATCTCCTAATGCTATCCCTCCCCCACCCCACCCCACCACAGGCCCCAGTGTGTGATGTTCCCCTTCCTGTGTCCATGTGTTCTCATTGTTCAATTCCCACCTACGAGTGAGAACATGCAGTGTTTGTTTTTTTGTCCTTGCCATAGTTTGCTGAGAATGATGGTTTCCAGCTTCATCCATGTCCCTACAAAGGACATGAACACATCAATTTTTATGGCTGCATAGTATTCCATGGTGTATATGTGCCACATTTTCTTAATCCAGTCTATCATTGTTGGACATTTTGATTGGTTCCAAGTCTTTGCTATTGTGAATAGTGCCACAATAAACATATGTGTGCATGTGTCTTTATAGCAGCATGATTTATAATCCTTTGGGTATATACCCAGTAATGGGACTGCTGAGTCAAATGGTATTTCTAGTTCTAGATCCCTGAGGAATCACCACACTGACTTCCACAATGGTTGAACTAGTTTACAGTCCCACCAACAGTGTAAAAGTGTTCCTATTTCTCCACATCCTCTCCAGCACCTATTGTTTCCTGACTTTTTAATGATTGCCATTCTAACTGATGTGAGATGGTATCTCATTGTGGCTTTGATTTGCATTTCTCTGATGGCCAGTGATGATGAGCATTTTTTCATGTGTCTTTTCGCTGCATAAATGTCTTCTTTTGAGGAGTGTCTGTTCATATCCCTCGCCCACTTTTTGATGGGGTTGTTTGATTTTTTCTTGTAAATTTGTTCATTGTAGATTCTGGATATTAGCCCTTTGTCAGATGAGTAGATTGCAAAAATGTTCTCCCATTCTGTAGGTTGCCTGTTCACTCTGATGGTAGTTTCTTTTGCTGTGCAGAAGCTCTTTAGTTTAATTAGATCCCATTTGTCAGTTTTGGCTTTTGTTGCCATTGCTTTTGGTGTTTTAGACATGAAGTCCTTGCCCATGCCTATGTCCTGAATGGTAGTGCCTAGGTTTTCTTCTAGGGTTTTGATGGTTTTAGGTCTAACATTTAAGTCTTTAATCCATCTCGAATTAATTTTTGTATAAGGTGTAAGGAAGGGATCCAGTTTCAGCTTTCTACATATGGCTAGCCAGTTGTCCCAGCACCATTTATTAAATAGGGAATCATTTCCCCATTTCTTGTTTTTGTCAGGTTTGTCAAAGATCAGATGGTTGTAGATATGCGGCATTATTTCTGAGGCCTCTGTTCTGTTCCATTGGTCTATATCTCTGTTTTGGTACCAGTACCATGCTGTTTTGGTTACTGTAGCCTTGCAGTATAGTTTGAAGTCAGGAAGCGTGATGCCTCCAGCTTTGTTCTTTTGGCTTAGGATTGACTTGGTGATGCAGGCTCTTTTTTGGTTCCATATGAACTTTAAAGTAGTTTTTTCCAATTCTGTGAAGAAAGTCATTGGTAGCTTGATGGGGATGGCATTGAATCTATAAGTTACCTTGGGCAGTATGGCCATTTTCACGATATTGATTCTTCCTACCCATGAGCATGGAATGTTCTTCCATTTCTTTGCATCCTCTTTTATTTCATTGAGCAGTGGTTTGTAATTCTCCTTGAAGAGGTCCTTCACATCCCTTGTAAGTTGGATTCCTAGGTATTTTATTCTCTTTGAAGCAATTGTGAATGGGAGTTCACTCATGATTTAACTCTCTGTTTGTCTTTTATTGGGGTTATAAGAATGCTTGTGATTTTTGCACATTGATTTTGTATCGTGAGACTGTGCTGAAGTTGCTTATCAGCTTAAGGAGATTTTGGGCTGAGACAATGGGGTTTTCTAGATATACAATCATGTCATCTGCAAACAGGGACAATTTGACTTCCTCTTTTCCTAATTGAATACCCTTTATTTCCTTCTCCTGGCTGATTGCCCTGGCCAGAACTTCCAACACTATGTTGAATAGGAGTGGTGAGAGAGGGCCCTGTCTTCTGCCGGTTTTCAAAGGGAATGTTTCTAGTTTTGGCCCATTCAGTATGATATTGGCTGTGGGTTTGTCATAGATAGCTCTTATTATTTTGAGATACATCCCATCAATACCTAATTTATTGAGAGTTTTTAGCATAAAGTGTTGTTGAATTTTGTCAAAGGAAGAAAGGAGAGAAGAATCAAATAGAGGCAATAAAAAATGATAAAGGAGATATCACCACTGATCCCACAGAAATACAAACTACCATCAAAGAATACTATAAACACCTCTACACAAATAAACTAGAAAATCTAGAAGAAATGGATAAATTCCTCAACACATACACCCTCCCAAGACTAAATCAGGAAGAAGTTGAATCTCTGAATAGACCAATAACAGGCTCTGAAATTGAGGCAATAATTAATAGCTTACCAACCAAAAAAAGTACAGGACCAGATGGATTTGCAGCCGAATTCTACCAGAGGTACAAGGAGGAGCTGGTACCATTCCTTCTGAAACTATTCCAATCAATAGAAAAAGAGGGAATCCTCCCTAACTCATTTTATGAGACCAGCACCATCCTGATCCCAAAGCCTGGCAGAGACACAACAACAAAAAAAGAGAATTTTAGACCAATATCCCTGATGAACATCAATGCAAAAATCCTCAGTAAAATAGTGGCAAACCACCGATTCCAGCAGCACATCAAGAAGCTCATCTACCATGATAAAGTGGGCTTCATCCCTGGGATGCAAGGCTGGTTCAACATATGCAAATCAATCAACGTAATCCAGCATATAAACAGAACCAACGACAAAAAGCATAAGATTATCTCAACAGATGCAGAAAAGGCCTACTGTTCTTCTGAGTACCTATTTTTAACTTTGTTTCTCTTGATATTCATCAAGAAAATATACACATGCTTTTAAAAAAATTAAGCAAAATACAGAATAATATGTTTCAATTCCAAGATGTTTACAATTTTGGCTTGTTTCTGTTCATTTTTAAGGGAGTATGTCAAACTTCCACCTCTCTTATTTACGCCTAACTTGAGTTGTGTGTCACTTTATTTTGACAACGTACTGTAATTATCCTTAAAGCAACTATTCCTACAATGTACAAGGTTAGCCTAAATGCTATTAAATAACAATATTTAATGGTTACACACAAGTAACTACTACTACTGAGCAATCCTCTCTATGACAAATACTTGGAGTTAATTTCAAAAAGTAGAAATGAATTCATGTCGATTCATTCACACTGTCTCATTAATTTGCATTTTAGATTTGAAATCAGCATTTAGCAAAATAAGATGTACACCCAACCATTTTTGATACTCACATACTTTTATGGCTCTTTGTTTTTGAATCCTATGACTTAGACAAAAAACTGAGATATGTGGATGTTTCCTCTAATTTTATGTACTGTTGTGTCTTAAGATGAATACCCCATTGTCCTGATTTCTGTGATTACTGGCAAATGTCCCTCTTTTTAGTCTCCTTCC
Organism: Homo sapiens; assembly: GCF_000001405.40. NCBI lineage: Eukaryota > Metazoa > Chordata > Mammalia > Primates > Hominidae > Homo > Homo sapiens. The sequence goes on along the minus strand of NC_000002.12, from coordinate 149,878,168 downwards.
GCATACCAGGTGCAGATCTCATTTGTGACTCCACCTCTGTGACCTACTCTCAGAGCCAGTTGTGGCTACTTATTTAAAGCAACAGCAATTTCATGTGTCATTCATGTTTGTCTTCAGACCTGGAATTCAGCCATTGTGAGTTGTCAAAGAGGCCAAACTACAAACTGCTGTGGTCTGAGTTCAGAACAGAAGTTCTTCTCATAAGGATGAGTTCAATTCACCATGCTCTTCTGGGCCCCACAACATAGAGAAGCAATGCTTCAGACAATTACATCTCAGTCTGACCTTCCACTTTCTTAAATTAATAGTTAAAATTTCTCAATGTTTATTAAATTGTAAATCTGCTAATTTCCCTTCTTCCTCCCAAGAAGGAACTTTGTTTCCAATCTAAAGATAATAGACGCCATCTGTATTAGTTTTCTGGGCTATCATTACAAAGTATCACAGACTGGCTGGCTTAGACAATAGGAATTTATTTTCTCACAGTTGTGGAGGCTAGAAGTTTGAGATCAAGGTGTTCACATGTTTAGTTTCTTCTGAGACCTTTCTCCTTTTCTTGCAGATGGCTGCCTTCTCCCTGTTTCTTCTTCTGGTGTTCCTCTGTGTGTGTCCATGTCCTAATCTTCTCTTCTTACAAGGATATCAGTTAGCATTAGGGCCCAACCATATGACTTCATTTTACCTTAATTACTTTTTATCTCCAAATACAGTGACATTTTATGATACTGAGAGTAAAGACTTCAGCATACACAGTTCTGGGTTGGGGAGGTTCTGTATTAGTCTGTTTTCACACTGCTATAAAGATATACCTGGGACTGGGTCATTTATAAAGAAAACAGGTTTAATTGACTCACGGTTCCACATGGCTGGAGAGGCCTCAGGAAACTTAATCGTTGCAGAAAGGGAAGCAGGTTCATCTTACATTGGGGCAGTCAAGAGAGGGTGTGAGCATGTGAAGGAGGAACTGTCAAACACTTATAAAACCATCAGATCTCCTGAGAACTCACTATCAGGAAAACAGCATGGGGAAACTGCCCCCATGACCTATCACCTCCCACTGGATTCCTCCCTCGACATGTGGGGATTGTGGGGATTACAATTCAAGATGAGATTTGGGTGGGGACACAGCCAAACTATATCAGGGTCATAATTCAGTCCATAACTCACTTTCCACCTGCAAACCTACATGTGCACCACATTCTCTCCTCCTCCCTTCAATTAGTTTATAACCAATTCTTCTAACAGGATCCTAAGTCCTCCCTCCTTTTCAGGAGTTTTGAGCTAGTAATTAATTATTGCTTCTCTTCCTATGAAATCAGTCCTATAGAAAAGTAATATTTCTCAAATATCTTTCATCTAAAAAATAAATAAAATAAAGCAACACATTTATCACACTCCTGTTTCCCACACCTCCCCAAGCCAGACTCAGGTCATATATCATCAGAAAAGTGACCCCAAACATAAATACAAAGTTTGATAACTCACATAGGTACCCACCAGCTAGGTGAGGAACCAGAGCACTGCTAGCTCGCCACAAACCCCTCACCCAGTTGTGGCCTCTTGCAATCATTATTTCCTCTCTTCTGCTTAAGGGAGATCACACTCTCCTGACTCAGAACACTACCGTTTAGATTTGCCTGTTTGTATAACTTGATCATATGCACTCTTTTATTATTATTATTTCTCAACATCATACTTTAAAAGTTCATCCATGCTAGTGCAGCGATTCATTGATTTCCATTTCTTATAATTTTTCATGGTATAAATTCAATGACTTTTAACAAAAATAAGTGGTCATGTAACCACCACCTCACAAAAGACATAGAACATTTCCAACACCCCAGAATGTTTTCTCATGTTCCTTTGTAGTCAGTCCTCTCCCCAACCTACAGACCCAGAAAACCATTGATCTGCTGTCACTACAATTTTGCCCTTTCTAGAATTTTATGGAGATGGAATCGTACTGTACATAGTCATTTGTTTCTGTCTTATTTCACCCAGCATGATGCTTTTGGAATTCGTCCATGTTGTTGTATGTATTGGTAGTTTGTTCCTTTTTATTACTAAATTATATTTCATTGCAGGAATGTACTACCATCTGTGTATCCATTGGCAAGTTGGACATTATTTACTGTAGTTTTAATTTGCATTTCCTTATTACTGATGGCATTATCAATCATATATCTATGTTCTGTGTGTCTGCCCAATATTCTTACTCCTTGTCCTGTTACAGACTTTCTTATTCATTTGCTTTCTTGATTCTCTCAATTGTATGCCTGTTTTCTATTTTGGTAATTTGTGTCTTTTCCCATTCTTTTCCACATTTTACTTTATTTGCATTGAATTTGCTGTTCTATTTCTATAGTTCTACTCCAAGCATTTGAGGGTGCTACAGATTAAAAATTTATGCATCATAAATAGCTGTTTACCTATTGACTAACATATAGCAACTGACTTGAAAATTATATCTTCTAAAGGATATTTAAAAATATTTATAAAACCATAAACCATGGTTTTTATATGACTGAAATTTAGCAAAATACAAAGATGCCTAAGTTTATTATTGCACATGACCTGGACATTCTGTTTGGACCAACAATTTTTGGAATAGAAATAAAATTAATTCATCCCTGATTTATAAGTGTGATACATTTTTTCAGAAAAATAAATGTTTGCCTTCTTTTCAGCAAAATAATTATTATAATAATATAATTAAAAATTTTACAAAATTAGTTGTCTATTTAGAAACTTAAAGGTTTTTCATGAAACATTATGGGTCTTAGATGATTTTAATTTCAATTTGGAGAAATTTTGCTCTACTAAGATTTTGGCAAATAGAACAATCGTCAAATTTATCTGAGGATTTTATATATAACATTCAAGCATTATAATGGAGTTATATTTAATAGATATTATAATTGGAAAACATTACAAAATATTTTAATTTTTAATGTAAATTGTTATCACACACATTGCAATTTTCCCTATCTCTTAAAACATTCTAGATCCAAATAGTAGTGTAAATAATCAGCTTCCCCTTTCCTAGGTTATACACAAAAATTAACTTAAAATAAATCATAAACCTCAATGTAAAAGTTAAAAAAACACATAGAAAATATGAGTAAATTTTTGTGACCTTGGGTTAGGCAAAGCCTCCTTGCTTGTGGCACCCAAAGCACAAGCAATAATGAATTATTGATAAATTGGCCTTCAGCAAAGTGAAGACTTTTGTGCTTCAAAGGATACCATCAAGAAAGTGAAACGATAATCACAAAATGGAAGAAAATATTTGCAAATCATATGTTGCTAAGGGACTAGTATCTAGACTATATAAAGAACTTTTACAATTCAATAATAGAAAGACAAACAGCCCAATTTTTAAAGGAGACAAAAGCTCTGAAAAAAACATTTCTCCAAAAAAGATAGACAATAATTACATGAAAAGATGCTCAGCATCATTAGCCATTAGGAAAACACAAATCAAAACTACCATGAGATGCCACATTATACCCACTAGTTTGTCTATAATCACAAAGACAGAAAAATAACAATTGTTGGCAAAAATGAAGAGAAATTGGAACCCTCATATACTGCCAGTGAAAACGTAAAATAGTGCAGCCACTTTGGAAAACAGTCTTGCAGTTCCTAAAAGTTTAACATAGACTTGCCAATGACCCATCAATTCTATTCCTAGGATATACCCAAGAGAAATAAAAGAATATGTCCACACAAAAATTTGTACATGATTGTTCATAGAAGCACTATTCATAACAGCCAAAAAGTGAAAACAAATGTCCATCGATTTATGAATGGATAAATTAAATGTCATTTATCTGTGCAAGAAAATATTATCCAGCAATAAAAATGAAGCACTAATACATTTCAAGGATAAAAGCTGAAAACAATATGCTAAGTGAAAGAATCAGTCTCAAGCTTTATGTATGTTTCATCTGCAGTATGGGGGAAGGGTGCTCCCTCAGGCTCTAGGCTTTAAGGATTCTCGTGGTCATTTTTGCCTTGTAAATCTATTGAAATCTTTGCTCAGTATCTCAACTCCACAGTGGTTTTGTTTTTCCAGAATCATCAGATGTTTCTATGGAGTTTTCCTTCTCCAAGATGTTGGCCCCTTAATTTATTACAGCCTTGTCATAATTCCAATTATTTTAGTCAGATATTTTTCTACTTTTATACAGCTTTTATGAGCAGTGGGAGGATTTGTCTAAACTGCCCTGAAGGCTGGGTGGGTTGGCCCATGCCTGTAATCCCAGCATTTTGGGAAGCCAAGGCAGGAGTATTGCTAGAGCTCAGCAATTCAAGACCAGCCTGACCAACACAGTGAGACCCCCATCTCTACAAAGAATAAAAAAATAAAAAATTAGCTGGGTGTGGTGCTGCATGCCTGTGGCCCCAGCTACTTGGGAGGCTTAGGCAGGAGGACCATTTGTGCACGGGAGTTCAAGGTTGCAATGAGCCATGATCACGTCACTGCACTCCAGCCTAGGTAACTGAGGAAAATCCTGTCTATAACAGAAAAATTAATGAATTAATTGTTTGCCCTGACCACCATTACTGAAAGCCTCTCCTGTGGCATGATCTTTTTTTAAAAAAGATGAACTTGATTATTTTTATTATGTCATTAACCTGCTTTCATTGTCCTTAGGATTACTTTAAAAACCTTCCATCTGGTTTATAGTGCCCAGACTGTTTTGTCTCCTGCTCCCAACAGTGGTTATCACAGATGCCCTCCCTTACATGCTACCCTTTAGTGATCCTGGCCTTTTTCCAGGTTCCTCTGGGTAATATGTCTCCTCTCAACTCAGAATCTGACCTTGAACCTCTTCAACTTTTCCCCCAACAATTTTGTCAAAATTGTGCTCATTGGTCAATGCTAGCCAGAGCCCTAAGGCTCATTTTTAATAAATGTCTCATTGGAGATTAAGACATAAACCAGAAATTGTTTTTAATTTATAAATTTCAGGCTAGTCTCACCCTGTATCAGATATTCCTGTGGCTCCTGGGAGCTAAAACATGTGTTCACAGTTTCTTAGGACAGTAATCTTCTCTGCACAGTGGCCCCCAGAGCTTGAAGTTGGGGTGGTGGTAAACCACTGATGGTGTCCAACTAGGGTGTCGAACACAGGCAGCAAGCATTTATCATTTTTTTGATTATGCAACATTCATTTCCCTTTCTGGTGGTACCAGAGTTAGAATTTCCTTTGGAGAAATGACCTCTCCCCCATTGCACACATTCTTGTGGAACTGTAACTCAAGCACCCTTCTGTCACCACTCAAGGAATGGACACATGCTCTAAGCCCATTAGGCTTCCTACTCTGAATCTTTCAGTCTCCACCAGAGAGCTCCAAACTGTGTGAGGAGGGCTGGGGAGTGAAGCTGGTTCACCACGTAATTACCCTTGGAAATGACTTACAGTGATCAGTTCCTGTCACCTACTTCATTTCCTCCTAATATTGGTTTTTATTGCTTGCAGCTAAATAAATCAAATAGTAACCATAGTATTTATTAGCATTAATTCACAAAATAAGAATATTCATAAATTTACAATTTTCCTTTCAACTATCGGATAGAACCAGTTTTGTTATGACATAACTTTAAAACTCTCCCTATACTTGTTAATCTCCCTTTCCAACAATAAAAAATAAGGCTTCAAGCTTAGAACTTTGGGTAAACAAAATCATTTACTGCTAGAATTCAATGAAATTGATTGTATTATATTTCCTTTTACATTTATTTCTATTTATGACAAGTGCTGTTGGTATTCCATTTATGGTGTGTCACATAAAAAATGTTTAAAACGAAACATAGCTTAAAACAAAATTTTAAAAATTGAACAGTTGTAGGCTGATATGGGAACAATCAAGAACATGTGAGAATGACTGAAGCTTGGAAAACACAGCTTAAGCAAAGGGATCTGGGCAGTGGCCAGTTTAGTGGTTAGTCTAACCCACTCTTCATCATACTCCCACAACAAAATCTTCCTTCTTTTCCAATATCCTTTAAAAAAAATCCCAGCCTCTTTTATTAAACCTTGTTCCCTACTATCTTAAATTTTTTTTCTGATTATCTTCTTTGGAGTTCTCAGGTTGACTTTGTCTACGTCCTAACTATATCAAAGTCCAATTTTGTATAACACAGCAGATTCTGCTGTGGTGTGGTTAAAACAGCAGGCACTCCAAAAGTCATCAAAAAAGCAAAGACTTCTAAGGCAGTTTATTTTTAATGCATAAATTAGAGTAAAAATGATTTTAAATGTTTTTGTGTGCATAAGACCACGTCGCCATGCTAGATGAATCCAATCAGCCAGAAATTGCTCAGCCTACCACCAGGTCATTGTGAAGCCCTCAAGCTTACTTCAAGACAGGCACTGGGCTTTGAATCCAAGGGAGCTTTTGAAATGCAAGTGGCTGTAGGCTCCATCTTTCCTAGTTCCAGAAAGCTCTTCCTAAGGTGGCTGTTCTTTAAGCCCCTTGTATACAATTTCCCTACATTCCTTCTACTCTCTCCCTACTTTTTGGTATATTTTTGTTGGCTCTTGCCTTCCTGCAGTCTTTCTGTTTTTCATTTGCGGTGATGAAATCAATAATTAGACTATAATGTGAATCCAAATGAAAAATGCCTTTATAAAATTAAGAGAATAAAACCAACACTTTGTTTTCATTTATATTCTTTAGCAGTCTTTAGTTGTCATTTATCAGTAAAATTTTATCAGAATATTCAATGCTGATAATGCTGCCAATCTTATTTTCAAAGTTGAGGCTTTTCATGTGGGCTGTGGTTGGCACTGCACTTAGCCTGATTTGGATTCTATTTAATCTCTTTGGCTTCAACAGACATTGGGAGGCAATGAAAACCAGCAATCAGCCTGCCATGAATTTGCCATGGGACTACATACTGTTGCAGAAACAACCATATAAATTTGCTGAGGAAAGACAAATTCGCAGCAGGCCGACTACAGCAGCCTGGCCCCCATGTGTTAGTGGGACTCCAGGGAAAGGGACGCCTGAGGCATGAGCACAGAATAAGGAAGGTGCCAAGGAGTGGGTATGTATACTTTTCCTGAGATATCCCTTTCACCAGGGCAAAGGCCACTGCAGTGCCATCAGTAAAGAAAGGAAGGCAGCATGCCAGGGTAAAAGCAGCACTTTGAAGAAATGATGAAGGCTAGGTTTGAGACCAGTCTTTGCTGTAGAATAGTTGTGTGCTTTTGGGTAAGCCACGCAGCCTTCCTGAGCCTCAGTTTCCTTTTGTGGAAATGGGAGTAAAGATTATTGCTATGAAAAATTCAGAGAACTGTGAAAGTCAAACATAAAAATGTGTATGAGTATTGTCTTATGAAATATAAATGAATATAAAATGGTCTGATTAATCATTATCTTAAATTTCTTAATAATAGGAGTAAACACTTTGCCTTTGAGTTGGGCAGGCAGCTATTAGCATTCAAACTGTGTAGGCATAAAAATACATTTAAATGGTATCTAAATCTCAGAGGAACGTTTTGTGCTTCCATTTTCAAATAAGCTTTCCTCATGATGGATCATTATTGAAGAGTTTCTCAGCAAGAGAAAAATGTTATCCATGGGAGAGATTGAAATGGAATAAGCTGATTTTAACATGCAAAATGGCTATTTCTATTTCTACACGTGGTTATAAAGACTCTCTGTATTCCCTTCTCTAGCCACCCACTGTATATTCTTCTTCCCAAACAGATCCATTTACTTTCTGTGTTTTAATAATACTGCCTGTTTTCTGAGGAGTTTTATGATGCTGGGAGAGTGATGTACAAAATCAATTGAGATATTTATGAAATCTAGACATGGTTACTAATAAAATAAGAGAATAAATAGGCAACCTTAGAACAATAAGATATATACTATTCCTGAAAGGTGAAGACTGCACACTCAGTCCATAGGGCAGATGGGAACAGAATCAGATAACAAAACAAAACCACACCAAGTGTATATAATAACTTGGTGAGAGTGCCTGCAATAGTCATGAGATGAACTACAAAAATGTACTACCATTTTTTAAAAGTTATTTAAATTAAGTTGATGTTAAAGTAAATTTTTGCAACATAGTGTGTGTGTGTGTGTGTGCATGTGTGTGTGAGAATGCAATGGTTCTATTCCATCATTATTGAGGTATAAATTTTTATTTTGTGTTTATCTCAGTTGTAGTGATATTCTGATTTGGGTGATACTACTACACTAAGCAAATACTCAAAAAACAGACCTCCCAAACCATGTGATAGTTCATAACAGTATTGGCTTCAATCTACTTTGTTTGATATTAATATTTTTATAACACCTTTCATTGGTTACCAATTCTATCATTTTTTATTCAAACTTCCTGTATCCTAATGCTTTAAAAAATCTCTTATAAACAGAATTTGTCTTTTAAAAACAAAAATCTAATCTGGTAATCTTTGTCTTATAATTGGAGCATTTAATCCATTTATATTTAATGTAATTACTAATAAATTTGTGGAAAATGTTTATATTTTAAAATAACAATAATTCACAGAAAAATATAAAGATAGTACAGAAAAAGCTCCTATACTCTTCACTCAGTTCATGTGTTATATAATTTTAGTCTCATACCAAAACCAAAGATTTGACATTGGCACAATGTGTGTGCATAGTATGTAACTTCCGCACATGTGTATATTTGTGTAACCACTGCTACAATCAAAACACAAAACTATTCCATCATCACAAAGATTTCCCTCATGCTACCCCTTCATAATCCCACCCATTCCCTCACCCCGCCATCCCTAACCTGTGACAACCACTAATCTGTTTTCCATGTTTGTAATTTTGTCATTCTGAGATTGAAGTGAAATTACACAGTATACAATCTTCTAAGATTGGTTTTCTTCTATCAGCATTTTTGTTGTTTTCAGTTTGGGGTATTACAAACAAAATTGCTATGAACAATCGTGTAGTAGTTTGTGGACGTATATTTTCATTTATCTGGGATAAATGCCCAACAATGCAATTGCTGGTTTGAATAGTAAATGTATGCTTAATTTTTTTACAAACTGCCAAACTGTTTTTCAGAGTGGCTTTACCAGATTACATTTCCATATGTAAGACATTTTATTTCTCTGTATACTAGCCAACATTTGATATTGTTACTATTTTTAAAGTTTTTGTTTCACTGTGGCAAGAACATTTAATGTAAGCTCTACCCTCTTAACACATTTTTTAAGTGGACAATATGGTGTTGTTTTCTATAATGTTGTACAATCAATCTCCAGAAATTATTTAGGTTTCATAATTAAAGCTTTATGCCCATTGATTAGAAATTTCACACTTTTCTCTTCCCCCAGGCCTTGGTAATCATCTTTCTACGCACTATTATTTTAGGTATCTCATATAAGTAGAATTATCCAGTAGTTGTCCTTCTGTGACTGGCTTATTATGTTTAGCAAAATGTCATCAAGGTTCATTTATATTGTCACATTGGAGGATTTCTTTCTATTTTAAGGCTGAATATTATTCCATTGTATGTATATATCACATTTTTCTTTAGCCATTCATCCATCGATGAATATTTAGGTGGTTTCTAATCTTGGCTATTTTGAATAATGCTTCAATGAACATTGGAGTGCTAACATCTCTTTGAAATTTTGATTTCATTCTTTCAGATAAATACCCAGAACTGGATTCCTGGATCATATGGTAGCACTATATTTAACACTTTGAGGAACTTCCATACTGTTTTCCATAGTGCCTCACTATTTTGCATTTCCAGCAAAAGTGTACAAGTGTTCCAATTTCTCCACATTCTCACCATATTTTTTTTTGATAATGGTCATCCTAACAGGTATGAAGTGCTATCTACTTTTAGTTTTGATTTGCATTTCCCTGATGATTAGTGATGTTGAGCATCTTTTTATGTATTGGATGGCCATTAGTATGTCTTTTTTTTTTTTTTAGAAGAAGTCCCACTCTGTTGCCCAGGCTGGAGTGCAGTGGCGCAATCTCGGTTCACTGCAACCTCTGCCTCTGGATTCAAGAGATTCTCCTGCCTCAGTCTCAAGAGTAGCTGGAAATACAGGCACGTGCCACCACACCCAGCTAATTTTTGTATTTTTAGTAGAGATAGGGTTTTGCCATATTGGCCAGGCTGGTCTCCAACTCCTGACCTTGTGATCTGCCCACCTTGGCCTCCCAAAGTGGTGGGATTACAGTCATAAGCCACCATGCCCAGCCAGTATGTCTTTTTTGGAGAAATTTCCATTTCAGCTTTTAGCCCGTTTTAAAAATGACGTTATTAGCATTTTACTACTATTTTTTATTTTAGCAATACTAATAGGTGTACAGTAATGTACCATTTGCTCTTAATGTTCATTTCCCTAATGGCTAGTCATGTTGAACATCTATTCATGTACTTATTTGACACTTTTGTATCCTCTATGGTGAAATATCCCTTTATATATTTTGCTCATTTTCTAATTGGATTGTTTATTGCCATAATGTTGAGTCTGGACAATTCCACACATATGTGATTTGCATATATTTTCTCCTAGTCTGTCCCTGTCCTTTCATCTTCCTCACCATAGTCTTTTGCACAGCAGAAGTTTTTAATTTTGATGAAGAACAATTTATGAATACTTTTCTTTTATAGATCTTGCATTTGATGTCATGTCTAAGAACTTGTCACCAAGACATAAGTCCTGAAGAGCTTATCCTATGGTATCTTCTATAAGCTTTATAGTTTTACACTTAAAGTTATGATCCATTTTGAGTTAATTTTTCCTGAGGTTTAGATTCCTTTTGTGGAGGCAGGGTTGTGGAGGTTAGCAGGGAGGGGAGACAGCTATGGATATCCAATTTTTCCATTAACATTTATTGACAAAATTATCCTTCATCCTTTAAATTGCTTTTGCACTTTTATCAAAAATCAGTTGGCTGTACTTGTGTGGAGCTGTTTATGGGTTCTCTATTCTGTGCCATTGACCCATGTCTATCCTTTTGCAAATGCTACACAGTCTTGTTACCTACAGCTATCTAATAATTCTTCAAACTGAGTAGAATGATACTTCCCACTTTTCTCTTTCTGAGAAGTGTTTTAACTATTCAACTTTACCTTTCCAGGTAAAATTTAAATCTACTATATTATTCATTTCTTACTATTTATACCACATGTTCTATTATTGTTCTGTTTGGATTTGGGTTTTTTTTTCTTCTTTTTATATTATTTTGTACTACTTTCTTACCTCCTTCATTAGGTTGAAAGTCAGGTGCTACTTTACTCTTCTTTTAGTGCTTACCCTAGAGCTTAAGAAAGGCTAAATTCACTGGTTACTTTGACTTATGTCCTAGTCAATGTAAAAATCTTTTTTTAATTATACTTTAAGTTCTGGGGTACATGTGCAGAACGTGCAGTTTTGTTACATAGGTATACACATGCCATGGTGGTTTGCTGCACTCATCAACCCATCATCTACATTAGGTATTTCTCCTAAAGCTATTCCTCCCCAACCCCCAACAGGCCTCGATGTGTATGTTCCCATCCCTGTGTCCATGTGTTCTCATTGTTCCACTCCCACTTATGAGTGAGAACATGCGGTGTTTGGTTTTCTTTTCCTGTGTTAGTTTGCTGAGAATGACGGTTTCCAGCTTCATCCATGTCCCTGCAAAGGACATGAACTCATCCTTTTTTATGGCTGGATAGTATTCCATGCTTTATATGTGCCACATTTTCTTAATCCAGTGTATCATTGATGGGCATTTGGGTTGGTTCCAAGTCTTTACTATTGTGAACAGTGCTGCAATAAATATATGTGTGCATGTGTGTTTATAGTAGAATGATTTATAATCCTTTGGCATATACCCAGTAATGAGAATGCTGGGTCAAATTATATTTCTAGTTCTAGATCCTTGAGGAATCACCACACTTCCATAATGGTTGAACTAATTTACACTCCCGCCAACAGTGTAAAAGCATTCCTATTTCTCCGCATGCTCTCCAGCATCTGTTGTTTCCTGACTTTCTAATAATCACCATTCTAACTGGCATGAGATGGTATCTCATTGTGGCTAACTGGCATGAGATGGTATCTCATTGTGGTTTTGATTTGCATTTCTCTAATGACCAGTGTTGATGAGGTTTTTTTCATATGTTTGTTGGCTACATGAATGTCTTCTTTTGAGAAGTGTCTATTCATATCCTTCGCCCACTTTTTGATGGGGTTGGTTTTTTCTTGTAAATTTGTTTAAGTTGTTTGTAGATTCTGGATGTTAGCCCTTTTTAAGACCGATAGATTGCAAAGATTTTCTCCCATTCTGTAGGTTGCCTGTTCACTCTGATGATAGTTTCTTTTGCTCTGCAGAAGCTCTTTAGTTTAATCAGATCCCGTTTGTCATTTTCGGCTTTTGTTGCCATTGCTCATGGTGTCTTAGTCATGAAGTCTTTGCCCATGCCTAGGTCCTGAATGGTATTGCCGAGGTTTGCTTCTAGGATTTTTATGGTTTTAGGTTTTATGTTTAAGTATTTAATCCATCTTCAGTTAATTTTTGTATAAGGTGTAAGAAAGGGGTCCAGTTTCAGTTTTCTGCATATGACTAGCCAGTTTTCCCAGCACCACTTATTAAATAGGGAATCCTTTCTCCATTGCTTGTTTTTGTCAGGTTTGTTGAAGATCAGATGGTTGTAGATGTATGGCGTTATTTCTAAGGCCTGTGTTCTGTTCCATTGGACTATATATCTGTTTTGGTAGCAGTACCCTGTTTTGGTTACTGCAGCCTTGTAGTATGGTTTGAAGTCAGGTAGCATGATGCCTCCAGCTTTGTTCTTTTTGCTTAGGATTGTCTTGGCTGTGTGGGCTCTTCTTTGGTTCCAAATGAAATTTAAAGTAGTTTTTTCCAATTCTGTGAAGAAACTCAGTGGTAGCTCGATAGGGATAGCATTGAATTTATAAATTACTTTGAGCAGTATGGCCATTTTCACGGTATTAATTCTTTCTATCCATGAGCATGGAATGTTTTTCCATTTGTGTCCTCTCTTATTTCCTTGAGCAGTGGTTTGTAGTTCTCCTCGAAGAGGTCCTTCACATCCCTTGTAAGTTGGATTCCTAGGTATTTTATTTTCTTTGTAGCAATTGTTAATGGGAGTTCACTCATGATTTGGCTCTCCATTTATTATTGGTGTATAGGAATGCTTGTGATGTTTGCATATTGATTTTGTATCCTAAGACTTTGCTGAAGTTGCTTATCAGCTTAAGGAGATTTTGGGCTGAGATGATGGGGTTTTCTAACTATACAATCATGTCATCTGCAAACCGGGACAATTTGACTTCCTCTCTTCCTATTTGAATATCCCTTATTTCTTTCTCTTGACTGATTGCCCTGGCCAGAATTTCCAATACTATGTTGAATAGGAGTGGTGAGAGAGGGTATCCTTGTCTTGTGCTCGTTTTCAAAGGGAATGCTTCCAGTTTTTGCCCATTCAGTATGATATTGGCTGTGGGTTTGTCATAAATAGCTCTTATTATTTTGAGATGTGTTCCAGCAATATCTTGTTTATTGAGAGTTTTTAGCATGCAGGGCTGTTAAACTTTGTCAAAGGCCTTTTCTGCATCTGTAAAAATCTTAATGTATATTATTTCTATTTGATTCTCCCAACTTAGATGTTGTATTATTCCATTCTTACACTGGTATAAAGACACTACCCGAGTCTGGGTAATTTATAAACAAAAGAGGTTTAATTGACTCACAGTTCTGCAGGCTGGGGAGACCTCAGGAAACTTACAATCATGATGAAAGGCAAAAGGGGAAGCAGGCACCTCTTCACAAGGCAGCCGGAGAAACAAAGAGAAAAACCCAGGGGAACTGCCATTTATAAAACCATCAGATCTCATGAAAACTCCCTCACTATCACAATAACAGCATGGGGGAAACTGCCCTCATGATCCAGTCGCCTCCCACCAGGTCTCTCCCTCAACAACTGGGGATTACAATTCAAAAAAAGCTTTGGGTGGGAACACAAAACCTAACCATATCATATGACATGGTTTCATTTATTTTTAAATCTGTCATGTATAAATATTAAATGACAGACTTTATTTTGTGTAGAGAGTATTAATTTATTGAATGATATATTTGCCATTTTTGTTGCTCTTGGAAGCACCTCTGAACTTCCAGATATAGTCATTTTTCTTCTGCTTAAAGTATACTCATTAATATTTATTTCATTGTGGGCCTGCTGATGAAGAAGCACCTTAATGTTTTCACTTTACCTTCTTTTTTTAAGCATTATTCCCACTAGGTATCAGTTTATGGGTTGGCAGTTATTTTCTTTCAACACTTTAAAGGTATAATTCCTCTTGGCTGCATTGTTTATGTTAAGTAGATCAGCTCTCAGCCTTATTGTTGTTCCTTTACATTTACTTTGTCTTTTTAGCACTAACAATAACAACAATCCTGCCCTAGAGAATTTACTTTTCTATGCCTTTTTATTCAATAATTTTATAATTACTTATCTAGATATGCCTTCTATTTATTTATGGTGATTGGGTTTTCAGGGTTTGTGGATGAGGCTTTGTGTCTTTCATCAGGTTTTTGAAAATTCTTAGCCACTCTCTTTTAAATATTTATTTTCCCCTGTTTTCTCACTCCTTTTCTTCTAAGATTTCCATTACAAATATTTCACATTCTCATTGTGTACTCTGTTATTCTCTTTTCTCTATATTCCATTCGTTTAGTCTCTCTATTCATTCCGAATATTTTCTCCTGACCTGTACTTCATTTTACTAATTCTTTCTGTAGGTGCATCTAATCTGCTATTAAACTCATCTATTGAGTTCCTAATTTGGATTACTGTATTTTTAAAATTTAAAACTTCACTATTGTTTCCTTGTAAAGTTTTATTTTTTACTTTTGACATAATTCTGCATATTGTCTCTTTTTCCCTTGAGCAATAGAAAGCATAGTTATGCTAAGGTCTGTATCTGATAACACCAATATCTGGAAACCTGAAGATCTATTTATATTGTTCAGTGTTTCAATTTGTTCCCATTCATGTTATCTTGTCTCTTAGTATGTATGAATGTTTTATTATCAGCCAGAAATTGTATTTGTAATATTGTTTGTGAAAGTAAACTCAGAACTAATATGGTGTTATCATCCATTAGGGAGTATTTTTGTTTATTTCTGCCACACGCCTGTGAGCATGTGCAAATTAAAATCATCTCAATTTAAGTATAGGAATTAAGAGAATTCCAAAATAAGCTGCAGTTTCTGTGAGAATCTGTTAACTTTTAGTTAATCCTTTCTCCTAGGGTGCAGCCCTTCAAGAGTTTCAAACCTGAAAAAAGCAAGGGCCACCTGGATTTGCTCCTCAACAGAACTTGGACTCCAACTTCTGTACTCTTAGCCCCTTAAATCCATCAATCGGTTCAGCCTTCTACTTGCCCATCTGAATCAGCAAAGGTGGCTCTAAAAACTGGCCTTTATTCACCACCTTCTGTTGTCCTCCTCCTCTTTTTTTTTTTTTTTTTCTGAGACAGATTTTCACTCTTGTTGCCCAAACTGGAGTGCAATGGTGCGATCTTGGCTCACCGCAACCTCCGCCTCCCAGGTTCAAGTGATTCTCTTGCCTAAGCCTCCCAAGTAGCTGAGATTACAGTCATGCGCCACCACACCAGGCTAATTTTGTATTTTTAGTAGAGATGGGGTTTCTCCATGTTGGTCAGGCTGGTCTCAAACTCCTGACCTCAGGTGATCCGCCCACCTTGGCCTCCCAAAGTGCTGGGATTACAAGCGGGAGCCACTACACCTGGCTGTCCTCCTCCATTTTTAACCTCCTTACCTAGTAGGTTCATGGTCTACCTCACTCCTAGAACTTCTAAGATGCTGACATTTTTCTCCCTTTACCAACTATAATTCACTTCTATCTTTATGCTGCTAATGAATGTTTAAAGGGTCTCAACTTCCCTTGCCTCATATTTCCATAACGGACTTTCTGTGCTTTCCTCTGGCCTCTGTTCCCAATCTTTTCCATACTTCCTTGTGGAAGAATGAGTTGATGTGATGTGAGTTTTAAGGAAGGCCTTGTGGGCTTTGATCTCTTATAGGGATGGCTATGTGTACAGAGAGGGCGCTGTGTCCTGCTCTCAACCATGTGGATTGCCCCGATTCCTGCAAGAGGAATGCCTAGAGTTCTGAGTGCTAGACTGAATCCATTACGGAAAGTACAGAAAATATTAGATGTCCACTTTGCTACATATTAAATTGTATTCTCTGATTCAATCTTTATGAATAATGAAAGTAATTTTTTATTCTTCACTTGTTTGGCTTCTGTCTTATTTTTCCAAACTCAGGAGAAAAAAAAAGGACATTATTTATCGATTTCCTAAAAGCCCCAAGTACCCATTCACCAAAAACTTCTATTATTGCACATTTTATGGAGGAAGCTTTTCATCCTCTTCTTCTTGGGTGTCATCATCCCAAGGTCATGCCTACAGCTTGGAGAAATAATAGTGATGCACCCAGTTAAATACTTTTTTCTTCCCTATTCCATATTCCATTTACAGGCTGGGATTAATGACATGTTTAGAGTCAAAGTAAACTGAAAACATAACCTTGATGTCACAAGTGGAAAGAAAGACTTGTTACATGTCAAGATCTGAAGAAATTTTTTCAGCAACACAGAGATATAACATCATGGATTAGAGCAAAACAACTGAACAACCTGTATATTCTAACCACAGCTATGATATCAAAGTTTACCTTCTCTATAAAAAGTAACTGATATGGTTTTTAATTCTGTCCCCTCCCAAATCTTGTGGGAAATAATAATCCCCAGTGTCGGAGTGGGGACCTGGTGGGAGGTGATTGGATCACAGGGATGGACTTTCCCCTTGTTGTTCCCCTGATAGTGAGTGAGTTCTCCTGAGATCTGGTTGTTGCAAAATGTGTAGCACTTCCCTTTTCTCTCTATTCCTCCTGCTCCAGCCATGTAGGACATGCTGGCTTCCACTTTGCCTTCTGCCATGATTGTTAGTTTCCTGAGGCCTCCCCAGCCACGCTTCCTGTACAGCCTGTGGAACTGTTCACCAATTAAACCTCTTTTCTTTGTAAATTACCTAATATCAGGTAGTTCTTTATAGCAATGTGAGAATGGACTAATACGGTAACCAAATTATTAAGTGCAGCTTACCTTTTTATAGTTCGTACATTTTAAAAATAAAATACTACAGAGCCACCAATTAAGACCTGATGTCATCTAAGCCAAGAGAAAAAGTTTTCCTAATCCAGCTAGAACAAAGGAGCCTGAACAGTATGAACCAAAGTATGGCCTTGGTCTCCAAACCCACAAACTGTGTTTGTATATACATAACCACAGATAAGACTCCTTTTATCTTAAAATCTTTCCATGAGCTTTTGTTTTTCTTTTTTCTTTTTTTTTCTGAGAACTTCTCATTATTTGCAGCTATTTCTAGGCCACAGCAGCACTCCAGTAGAGTGTTTTGGCAACAGCCCCTGTTGTGGTCAGCAACTCCTCTGCAGCTGGGATTTCTTGAAAGAAGTGAGTAGCATTTGCCTTGTAGTGCTCCAGCAACAAAACAAGGAAAACTTCCATGGGAATCAGATAATCACAGAGCCTTCCCTCTCTCTCCCCTTCCCTTTCGTCATGTGATCAAAGAGGTCAGAGCCACTGGTGCACATTTTAGTAAGCATGCCACGCAGAGAGGCTAATATAGGAACATAGTCCTAACCACCAGGCCCTGCAACACATTGTGGAGAACTCCATCAACTAAAGTGATTGTAGGACTCATAACCTTGATGTCACGAGTGGAAAGAAAGACTTGTTACAGGTCAAGATTGTATCACCCTAAAGTAGAGACATGCTTCAGGGTGGATATATACAGGTTTGTGCATTTGGTGTGGAGTGATTCAGCCAAAGAATTTACCCCAAAACAAGGTTATACATTGAATAAATATGAACATCTAGGTTTGCCTTAACTATAGCCAATAACACAAAGTAAAACCAAACAACAACAAAATACCAAACACACAATGTTTTCTGGCTAAGCAGAAATTCATGGGCAGAAGCCAAAGACAAAGAGACTTACAAGGTAAAAATCAAAACCGACACCTTAAAATGTGCAAGTCCTGTTTGGCTCATCCAACTTGAACAAAGCCACTGTCTGATATCAATCTAAATATCTACAACATGTTTTGATACTTATAAAAATGGGATTATGAAAATATACCACTGACTAAAATTGAACCTAATACGCTAAGATGTTGCCATTTTCTAATAATCTTCAAACAACAAAACAACCAAAGAAATGTCGTTGAGTCACCATAACTTTAAATAAGTATCATTTTAGAATCACTGGGATGGAAACAACTGTGAAAAATACCCTTTGAAATAAACAGCCCTCACTGAAGCCTGAAAGATCCGCTGTGGGCTTTTTATTTCTTAAGAAAGGTTATATTTTATTAATAATATTTTTATGTGATTCTAAAAAACTTTCTCAATGTTGACTCCTCTCTGCAAACATCTGCCTTCACTTTGCAGAACTAGTCACATTCCCATTACTAGTGCTCACCCATGAGGGGCAAACACTTTACTTTTGATGAGCGACAGTTTCAACACCCATATTAGGCAAAAGGGCATTTCTCACGAGAAAAACAGGCTGCTTGTTTGACAAACGGCTATTTGTGAGGTCGCCTTCTGTTTAATGATCCCATAGCAAGGCAGATGTTGGAGAGGGAAGTTCGAGAATCCTTCTAAACCAGATGCACTTTGGGTTACTTCCTCTGCTTGATTCCAAAACAGCTGAACAGAATAAAACAAAAGAGGAAATGGGGACACCCAAACTGAACATTATGACTCTTTCAGCAATAGCCTTTAGAAACCCTCTCAGGATACTGTGACATCACAGAGATGTGTCATCTTCTTATAGAATTTTGCTCCAAAAGCAGGATTTATACCATTTCTAAATGCAATTAATGCTGAAACACAGCTAGCATACATAGCAATAACTTAGGCAAAAAGGCAACACTCAAGCAAAATCCTTCCTGGAATTAAAATCCTGTTATTAGGTCAACCAACTTTTCTTTTAACTAACTAAATAAACAACAGCAAGACATGGTAAGCTTTGACTCAGAGAAAAAGATTCTGGATTGACTCTCGGAAGCTTCCTGTTTCAATTCCAGCTCTGTAAGACTTTGGGTGATCTTTCTAAATTTACTTCCTTCCTCTTAATCTTAGTATTATCATGCATTTAAAGAAGAGCATTGGACTTGATGACACTTACGAATAAGTTTCTGGACATCTGTGTCCAGTGTCATATGAACAAATGAAATTAATACATTCAGATTTCACTTATCATTTTTACTCATTTCTTACCAATAGTCCCTCTTTTTTCAGTAATCCTTACCTCAGTTTAAAATGCCAACAATTGCCCTGTTTCCATAGCCAGAAATCTGCTAGTCATCTTCTTCTTTTCTATTTTTGGTAATACAGTGCTTCCTTAAGTGGTTCTATATAGTTTCACTACATTTTTTTTTTTTTTTTTTTTTTTTTGCAGAAACCTAGACCTATAAGTTTAGTACCTGAATCTCTTGCTGATTCATGCATTTCTATTAATCTTCTCAGTCAGATGTTTAGCTCAGATCTGTCCTCTTATCCAAGCTTTTCCAAGAGTCTCCTAGCTACACTTCTGGCATCATGTTACACCCTACAATCCAGCTCTTCACAGTCTCCTGACTTCTTTTTAAAAGTTGCATACTATATATACATCTCTCTCTTGCTTAACATTCCTCAGTTATTCCCTAGTGGACACAGAATAAAGTCTAGCTTCTTAGCATGTTACTTGGGCTCCTTCAGTGCCAGTCCCCACAAATTCCTCACTCATCTTGCAGAAGCTCCCAGTTTTCAATATTCTCCTAAATGCTGTGGAACCTCTGTCTATGCAGGATTCTAAAGATGAGGAAAATTAGTCCCTTAAGACTCAGCTTAAGCATTGCCCCTTGTGCCTTTACTGTTAGTTTGCCCCTCTGTTCTTAAGAGTTTATTCCTGGCATTGCTCTTAAGGGAAGGAAGTTTGGCAGGGCCAAGAGTCCTAAACGTTAGACCTTTCTCTCTAAACACTAACAACATTAAAACTCCATTCAAGAAGGAGCAAAAGAAGCCATCATCTAGAAACAATGTTGATAACCACAGTTCCTGAACTTGGGCTTGTTAAAAGACTTTATCTCCATGAGTATACTGAAACACATATTTAGTTTATCTCCTATTATCAAGAAAGAAATATTAAAACTTCACTGTTGAGGATCACTCTGAATATGAAAGTGCTCAAGACAATCAATCAGGTCTCGAGATCTAGAAATTAGTATAAGTACTGAGTGCTAGGGGAAAAAAATTATACTCTTCAAACTACATCCCTGGGAGTGTTAGTGATGTCATAATTCACTGAGGATCTAGAAACTACAGGATGGATACTTATAAAAGATAAGGGAAGTATAGTGCATAGGTTGCTGAGAGGTGGAGAGAAAGTTGCTTACTTTTCCTGAGCCTCAACTTTCTGAAAACATAGAAACACAATTAGATGATGAGTTATGAGGTGAAGGAGGGGATGACTCAGCAGCAATGTGCCAGCTCCATAGTGACTTCTCCACCAAGCTGGAGAAGGATTTGCAGCAATGGTTCCAGAACCAACTGTGTGTATCTACAGGATGAAGGTAAGTAGGGCGGCTATACTTCTACTTACCTAGTTTGCTTAGGACAGTTCTAGGTTATGCATGTTGTTTTAATAGATGTTTAAAAAGTTCCCACTTATGTTTTTTTAAATATCCAAATTTAGATAATAAATTATATAACTATAGTAAGATTTTTTTTCTCTGAAAATTAGTAGAAATTATGTATGTTTCTGGCTTTTGGTAAATGTGTTGATTATGGAGAAGGGCAGGAGTTTAGAGTTGGACTAGACTTCTCCTCCTTTTAAATCTCCCTTAAAAACATGTTTCTTCATTATGATACTCAATCTTTTAGCATAATTTAAAAATTCATGTAGCCCTTTAAAAATAACTTTTAGGTGATATTTACTTGGACTTAAATGTTCAGATTCCAGTGAGATCTTATTGAATTAAATTTCCAGGTTTCAGTGGGGAAAGGCTACCAGCAGTCCTTTTTGCCTATCCCTTAGGGGACTTAGGAAGGACAGAAAAGAGACAAAAATCAATGTAACATTTAAACAAAACAACACTGCAATCGTGCCGTGATAGCCATCTCAATGTGATATCATAAGTAGCCAGTGTTTTTCTTTTTTCCCTCAAAGAATATCATTCTTATTAAACTCCCCCAATGAAAGCATCCTTGCTAAGGGAATTCAGCAAAATACATACATAATTTTACCATCTGCAGAGGTGATAGCACTTAATTAGGAAAGCCAAGAGTATTAGAGGATGTTTTCAAAGCAGCACCTCAGGTAAGAGACCCCCCTCCCCACCTTTGTTGCTACTAATGGTACTGCAACTCATTTTATGCTCGTTGCATAACAGTATTTCCCCTAGAGAATATGGAATTCAAATCGGGTGAACAGATGCTCACAAATTAAAGTACTCTATGTGTGTACATGCAGCAATCATGGAAGGGTAGGTGGAGAGGAGACAGGATAAAAGAAGAAACAGACAAGACATTTGGAAACTATTGAATTCTTGTTTTTCTTTTTTTTTTTTATTATACTTTAAGTTTTAGGATACATGTGCACATTGTGCAGGTTAGTTACATATGTATACATGTGCCATGCTGGTGTGCAGCACCCACTAACACGTCATCTAGCATTAGGTATATCCCCCAATGCTATCCCTCCCCCCACCCCACAACAGTCCCCAGAGTGTGATATTCCCCTTCCTGTGTCCATGTGATCTCATTGTTCAATTCCCACCTATGAGTGAGAATATGCGGTGTTTGGTTTTTTGTTCTTGCGATAGTTTACTGAGAATGATGATTTCCAATTTCATCCATGTCCCTACAAAGGACATGAACTCATCCTTTTTTATGGCTGCATAGTATTCCATGGTGTATATGTGCCACATTTTCTTAATCCAGTCTATTATTGTGAGACATTTGGCATGGTTCCAAGTCTTTGCTATTGTGAATAATGCCGCAATAAACATACGTGTGCATGTGTCTTTATAGCAGCATGATTTATAATCCTTTGGGTATATACCCAGTAATGGGATTACTGGGTCAAATGGTATTTCCAGTTCTAGATCCCTGAGGAATCGCCACACTGACTTCCACAATGGTTGAACTAGTTTACAGTCCCACCAACAGTGTAAAAGTGTTCCTATTTCTCCACATCCTCTCCAGCACCTGTTGTTTCCTGACTTTTTAATGATTGCCATTCTAACTGGTGTGAGATGGTATCTCATTGTGGTTTTGATTTGCATTTCTCTGATGGCCAGTGATGATGAGCATTTTTTCATGTGTTTTTTGGCTACATAAATGTCTTCTTTTGAGAAGTGTCTGTTCATATCCTTCGTCCACTTTTTGATGGGGTTGTTTGTTTTTTTCTTGTAAATTTGTTTGAGTTCATTGTAGATTCTGGATATTAGCCCTTTGTCAGATGGGTAGGTTGCGAAAATTTTCTCCCATTTTGTAGGTTGCCTGTTCACTCTGATGGTAGTTTCTTTTGCTGTGCAGAAGCTCTTTAGTTTAATTAGATCCCATTTGTCAATTTTGTCTTGTGTTGCCATTGCTTTTGGTGTTTTAGACATGAAGTCCTTGCCCATGCCTATGTCCTGAAGGGTAATGCCTAGGTTTTCTTCTAGGGTTTTTATGGTTTTAGGCCTAACGTTTAAGTCTTTAATCCATCTTGAATTGATTTTTGTATAAGGTGTAAGGAAGGGATCCAGTTTCAGCTTTCTACATATGGCTAGCCAGTTTTCCCAGCACCATTTATTAAATAGGGAATCCTTTCCCCATTGCTTGTTTTTCTCAGGTTTGTCAAAGATCAGATAGTTGTAGATAGGCGGTGTTATTTCTGAGGGCTCTGTTCTGTTCCATTGATCTATATCTCTGTTTTGGTACCAGTACCATGCTGTTTTGGTTACTGTAGGCTTGTAGTATAGTTTGAAGTCAGGTAGTGTGATGCCTCCAGCTTTGTACTTTTGGCTTAGGATTGACTTGGCGATGCGGGCTCTTTTTTAGTTCCATATGAACTTTCAAGTAGTTTTTTCCAATTCTGTGAAGAAAGGCATTGGTAGCTTGATGGGGATGGCATTGAATCTGTAAATTACCTTGGGCAGTATGGCCATTTTCACGATATTGATTCTTCCTACCCATGAGCATGGAATGTTCTTCCATTTGTTTGTATCCTCTTTTATTTCCTTGAGCAGTGGTTTGTAGTTCTCCTTGAAGAGGTCCTTCACGTCCCTTGTAAGTTGGATTCCTAGGTATTTTATTCTCTTTGAAGCAATTGTGAATGGGAGTTCACTCATGATTTGGCTCTCTGTTTTTCTGTTGTTGGTGTATAAGAATGCTTGTGATTTTTGTACATTGATTTTGTATCCTGAGACTTTGC
Source organism: Homo sapiens (assembly GCF_000001405.40). NCBI lineage: Eukaryota > Metazoa > Chordata > Mammalia > Primates > Hominidae > Homo > Homo sapiens. The sequence goes on along the minus strand of NC_000002.12, from coordinate 149,854,604 downwards.
TGAAGTTGCTTATCAGCTTAAGGAGATTTTGGGCTGAGACAGTGGGGTTTTCTAGATATACAATCATGTCGTCTGCAAACAGGGACAATTTGACTTCCTCTTTTCCTAATTGAATACCCTTTATTTCCTTCTCCTGCCTGATTGCCCTGGCCAGAACATCCAACACTATGTTGAATAGGAGTGGTGAGAGAGGGCATCCCTGTCTTGTGCCAGTTTTCAAAGGGAATGCTTCCAGTTTTTGCCCATTTAGTATGATATTGGCTGTGGGTTTGTCATAGATAGCTCTTACTATTTTGAAATACGTCCCATCAATACCTAATTTATTGAGAGTTTTTAGCATGAAGGGTTGTTGAATTTTGTCAAAGGCTTTTTCTGCATCTATTGAGATAATCATGTGGTTTTTGTCTTTGGCTCTGTTTATATGCTGGATTACATTTATTGATCTGCGTATATTGAACCAGCCTTGCATCCCAGGGATGAAGCCCACTTGATCATGGTGGATAAGCTTTCTGATGTGCTGCTGGATTCATTTCGCCAGTATTTTATTGAGGATTTTTGCATCAATGTTCATCAAGGATATTGTTCTAAAATTCTCTTTTTTTGTTGTGTCTCTGCCTGGCTTTGGTATCAGAATGATGCTGGCCTCATAAAATGAGTTAGGGAGGATTCCCTCTTTTTCTATTGATTGGAATAGTTTCAGAAGGAATGGTACCAGTTCCTCCTTGTACCTCAGGTAGAATTCGGCTGTGAATCCATCTGGTCCTGGATTCTTTTTGGTTGGTAAGCTATTGATTATTGCCACAACTTCAGATCCTGTTATTGGTCTATTCAGAGATTCAACTTCTTCCTGATTTAGTCTTGGGAGAGTGTATGTGTCGAGGAATTTATCCATTTCTTCTAGATTTTCTAGTTTATTTGTGTAGAGGTGCTTATAGTATTCTCTGATAGTAGTTTGTATTTCTGTGGGATTGGTTGTGATATCCCCTTTATCATTTTTTATTGCGTCTATTTGGTTCTTCTCTCTTTTTTTCTTTATTAGTCTTGCTAGTGGTCTATCAATTTTGTTGATCCTTTCAAAAAACCAGCTCCTGGATTCATTGATTTTTTGAAGGGTTTTTTGTGTCTCTATTTCCTTCAGTTCTGCTCTGATTTTTGTTATTTCTTGCCTTCTGCTAGCTTTTGAATGTGTTTACTCTTGCTTTTCTAGTTCTTTTAATTGTGATGTTAGGGTGTCAATTTTGGAACTTTCCTGCTTTCTCTTGCGGGCATTTAGTGCTATAAATTTCCCTCTACACACTGCTTTGAATGTGTCCCAGAGATTCTAGTATGTTGTGTCTTTGTTCTCGTTGGTTTCAAAGAACATCTTTATTTCTGCCTTCATTTTGTTATGTACCCAGTAGTCATTCAGGAGCAGGTTGTTCAGTTTCCATGTAGTTGAGCAGCTTTGAGTGAGATTCTTAATCCTGAGTTCTAGTTTGATTGCAGTGTGGTCTGAGAGATAGTTTGTTATAATTTCTGTTCTTTTACATTTGCTGAGGAGAGCTTTACTTCCAAGTATGTGGTCAATTTTGGAATAGGTGTGGTGTGGTGCTGAAAAAAAATGTATATTCTGTTGATTTGTGGTGGAGAGTTCTGTAGATGTCTATTAGGTCTGCTTGGTGCAGAGCTGAGTTCAAGTCCTGGGTATCCTTGTTGACTTTCTGTCTCGTTGATCTGTCTAATGTTGACAGTGGGGTGTTAAAGTCTCCCATTATTAATGTGTGGGAGTCTAAGTCTCTTTGTAGGTCACTCAGGACTTGCTTTATGAATCTGGGTGCTCCTGTATTGGGTGCATATATATTTAGGATAGTTAGCTCTTCTTGTTGAATTGATCCCTTTACCATTATGTAATGGCCTTGTCTCTTTTGATCTTTGTTGGTTTAAAGTCTGTTTTATCAGAGACTAGGATTGCAACCCCTGCCTTTTTTTGTTTTCCATTTGCTAGGTAGATCTTCCTCCATCCTTTTATTTTGAGCCTACGTGTGTCTCTGCACGTGAGATGGGTTTCCTGAATACAGCACACTGATGGGTCTTGAATCTTTATCCAATTTGCCAGTCTGTGTCTTTTAATCGGAGGATTTAGTCCATTTACATTTAAAGTTAATATTGTTATGTGTGAATTTGATCCTGTCATTATGATGTTAGCTGGTTATTTTGCTCGTTAGTTGATGCAGTTTCTTCCTAGTCTTGATGGTCTTTACATTTTGGCATGATTTTGTAGCGGCTGGTACCGGTTGTTCCTTTCCATGTTTAGCGCTTCCTTCAGAAGCTCTTTTAGGGCAGGCCTGGTGGTGACAAAATCTCTCAGCATTTGCTTGTCTGTAAAGTATTTTATTTCTCCTTCACTTATGAAGCTTAGTTTGGCTGGATATGAAATTCTGGGTTGAAAATTCTTTTCTTTAAGAATGTTGAATATTGGCCCCCACTCTCTTCTGGCTTGTAGGGTTTCTGCTGAGAGATCTGCTGTTAGTCTGATGGGCTTCCCTTTGAGGGTAACCCGACCTTTCTCTCTGGCTGCCCTTAACATTTTTTCCTTCATTTCAACTTTGGTGAATCTGACAATTATGTGTCTTGGAGTTGCTCTTCTCGAGGAGTATCTTTGTGGCATTCTCTGTATTTCCTGAATTTGAATGTTGGCCTGCCTTGCTAGATTGGGGAAGTTCTCCTGGATAATATCCTGCAGAGTGTTTTCCAACTTGGTTCCATTCTCCCCATCACTTTCAGGTACACCAATCAGACGTAGATTTGGTCTTTTCACATAGTCCCATATTTCTTGGCGGCTTTGCTCATTTCTTTTTATTCTTTTTTCTCTAAACTTCCCTTCTCGCTTCATTTCATTCATTTCATCTTCCATTGCTGATACCCTTTCTTCCAGTTGATCGCATTGGTTCCTGAGGCTTCTGCATTCTTCACGTAGTTCTCGAGCCTTGGTTTTCAGCACCATCAGCTCCTTTAAGCACTTCTCCGTATTGGTTATTCTAGTTATACATTCTTCTAAATTTTTTTCAAAGTTTTCAACTTCTTTGCCTTTGGTTTGAATGTCCTCCCGTAGCTCAGAGTAATTTGATCGTCTGAAGCCTTCTTCTCTCAGCTAGTCACAGTTATTCTCCATCCAGCTTTGTTCCGTTGCTGGTGAAGAACTGCATTCCTTTGGAGGAGGAGGAGGCGCTCTGCTTTTTAGAGTTTCCAGTTTTTCTGTTCTGTTTTTTCCCCATCTTTGTGGTTGTATCTACTTTTGGTCTTTGATGATGGTGATGTACAGATGGGTTTTTGGTGTGGATGTCCTTTCTGTTTGTTAGTTTTCCTTCTAACAGACAGGACCCTCAGCTGCAGGTCTGTTGGAATACCCTGCCGTGTGAGGTGTCAGTGTGCCCCTGCTGGGGGGTGCCTCCCAGTTATGCTGCTCAGGGGTCAGGGGTCAGGGACCCACTTGAGGAGACAGTCTGCCCATTCTCAGATCTCCAGCTGCGTGCTGGGAGAACCACTGCTCTCTTCAAAGCTGTCAGACAGGGACATTTAAGTCTGCAGAAGTTACTGCTATCTTTTTGTTTGTCTGTGCCCTGCCCCCAGAGGTGGAGCCTACAGAGGCAGGCAGGCCTCCTTGAGCTGTGGTGGGCTCCACCCAGTTCGAGCTTCCCGGCTGCTTTGTTTACCTAATCAAGCCTGGGCAATGGTGGGTGCCCCTCCCCCAGCCTGGCTGCCACCTTGCAGTTTGATCTCAGACTGCTGTGCTAGCAATCAGCGAGACTCCCTGGGCGTAGGACCCTCCGAGCCAGGTGCGGGATATAATCTCGTGGTGCGCCGTTTTTTAAGCCCGCCGGAAAAGTGCAGTATTCTGGTGGGAGTGACCCGATTTTCCAGGTGCCGTCTGTCACCCCTTTCTTTGACTAGGAAAGGGAACTCCCTGACCCCTTGCGCTTCCCAAGTGAGGCAATGCCTCGCCCTGCTTCGGCTCGCGCACTTTGCACGCACCCACTGACCTGTGCCCACTGTCTGGCACTCCCTAGTGAGATGAACCCGGTACCTCAGATGGAAATGCAGAAATCACCATCTTCTGCGTCGCTCACCACCGGAGCTGTTCCTATGCAGCCATCTTGGCTCCTCCCTCCTTGTTTTTCTTTTCTCTGATCACTTCTTATCTCTACGAACTCCTCTCCTCCTTTTTGTCATCTTGTTGCCCATCATCACATTATTTTTCCCACAACCTCTCAGTTTCCATTGACAGAGGGTTGTTCTCTCTGAGCAGTCACAATTGAGTAGTGGGAGACTTGTGTTTTTAGATGCCAAAAGTCAGTCTCTGTCTTTCTCCCTTTCTTTGTAATCATAGAATTGGGTTTTAGTAGTTTGACTGGGAAACATAGCTTGCAAATAACTGAATTTGCTTTTTTAGGCTGTAATTCAGCAGGCAGAGAAATTAGCTTCATCCTGGACAGTAGGGTTTACACAACGCTGGTCTCTAGTTCCTTCCCCTTTGCAGTTTTTTCTCTCTACAGATCACAGTCTTTGACCCTGGCTTGTTAGTTGAGGATCATTCAGGCTCACCTTCACCCAATCCTAAATCCCAATCATTTTTCCCCAATCTTGACTCCAGTCAAAATGTACTCCTTCTACTCCTACATCCCACCAAGCATCTAATTTTCCTCTAGGAAATAGTCCAAGCCATTTGTGCTAATGTGCCTGACAAGGACATACATTTAGAGCTCATTATTTCATGTTTTTAAAAAGCTTTCCTTCATAGAAATTAATCCTTCCTAAGTGAAAAATATTGCCAAGATCTCATTGAGCATTGCCTTTGGGGATTTTCTTTGTCTGTGTATTAGAATAGATGTCAGTGGCTCATGAAAAACAGCCACAGCTCACGAATAAACATTTTAATGAATATACTTATTTCTTCCCATCCTCCTGCCCCAGTTGAATTTTTTTAAAATGCATATGATTTTTACTAAACAATAATGATTTGTAATTTTTACTGTGGGGCTTAGAGAGGAATTATAAAACCCCAAATATTTCCCTGTCCTCCATCATTCTTCACATCACATTATTTTACTCATTAAACAATGTTTTAAAATCTCCCAGATTAATTTTTTCTACTCAGGTTACAACAAATCAGCGTTCTTCTCAAGAGGGCCATTCCTCATGTGCCTTATCTGTTTTTGAGAACCTCGATGGTAGATTGGTCTGTGTAACCACATGTGGTAAGGTCAATCAAGCTCATCTTGTCAAACTTGTCATAACCCTGGGATTTCACACAACAGAATTTCCCCTCATGCATTCTTAGCAATGCCACACAACAGGGGGATTTTAGAATTCATTATGCAAGCTTATATTCTCTGCAGTGAGTGGTGTTTCAACAAAATTTCCAGCATTTTGAAATTGGGTAACAAAAAATAAACAGAAGAAGAAAATAATGTCTCACTTCACCTATTTCCATGTAGAAAATTCATAGCAAAAAGAAAAAAGAAAAAAAAAATTTTTTAACCCATGGTAGGGGCTTAAGGGCAGAGGGATGGTCTGAGCATAAAAATCACATTTGCTTCAGCCATCCAGAAAACATCTTTGTTTACCATTGTTGTGTTGCGAAGGAAACACTGGCTACTTAGGACATCAGGTTGAGATGGCTCTCACAGCACGGTTGCACTGTTGTTTAAATGTTACACTGATTCTTTTCTCTTCTTTGTCCTTCCCAAGTCCCCCAAGGCATAGGCAAAAAGGATCACTGGTAGCCAAAGACCGTAAAAGAGAGAAACTAGATAGTAGACTATATTTAGCTACATTTGGATTATTATCTTATTTTTAGACCAATCATGGCAAATGTGCTTTGGGGTTCATAGTGGCAGTATTCACACATCTATGCCCTAACCTCCTCACCTGCCATCTCTTTCCCAAAACTCTCAAACAGAAATGGTAGATTTTGGTTTCATCGAAAGACAAAAAGGAAGCATCCTGAACCTTTTCCTGGAGCATCTCAGGTCTTTACGGCATAGCCTTGCCCTCAGCTGTGTTAACATGAACTTTTTCCTTTCCATTTCCAACTGGCCCTGACTCCCTGTGACCACGGAAACCCATGAATAATAGAATGTGACCCTCCCCATATATATAACTGTCCCCTGCCAGCTTCCCTACAATGTTTCCTGAGAAAAACTTTCTGCCCATCACCCTGAAAATGTAGGAAAGATTTCAGTCAGCTGTTAGAAAGAAGTACACAAGTACGTGAGTGCAGTAATATCCAATGGTCTGTGCATGAGGATGAGGGTCAGGAGGAGAAGCACCAAGGAAATGCTGGTGGGCTGAGGTGCAAGTTTCTGCAAAAGAGGGACTCTACAACTGCATGTACTTTGTGCACATAGCCTTTAATGCTTTGAGATTGTTTTGGAATTTCTGGCACATTTTGAGAAGAAAACTGCCTGTGTCTCTACTTGGCTCTCTGAGAAAAAAAATGAGTTTACGTACTAGAGGAACTATACATTGTAGGCTTGGAAACAGGCTGGCACACTGAATAATGGCAGTCTACCGTAGGTGCTCAGAAATGGAAGCAGAGCTGTATTGTCTGCTACCTGCATGTGTAATGAACTTCATAGCTTGCTATGGTGGCAGGGAGATCATGCGGAGTGTTCAGCTTCACACGGAGCCTGGGAACAAGGTCCAGGGGAGAAGTATCTGCAAAAACAGAAGGAAAATGAGTTACATAGTTTCAGATAGGCAGGAGAAATGGGCCTTGAGATCTATTGCATAGCGGGATGACTATAGTCAAGAAGAATGTCTTGTATACAGTATTTCAAAATAATAACAGTATAAATTTTAAATGTCTCACCATAAAAAAGGACAAGTAAATGAGGTGCTAGATATGTTAATTAGCTTGATTTAATCATCCCACATTGTATGCAAATATCAAAATATCACATTATATCTCATAAATGTATACAATTATGATTTGACAAGCAAAAACAAGACCAGATAGTCCCAATGTTCTTTAAATTGTCTCAGGATATTAAAAGCCAAGAAAAACTGTTCAATTTTTTATAAGGCAGGTATAACTTTGATATTTGTGCCTAATAAAGATAGTAGCAAAAATCTTAAGATGTGATAGGAAGTTTAAGGAGACAAAGTTGACAGGACAGGCATTTTAAAGATAAAATATTACTTCTGTGAGGCACATGATGTTTTAATAAAGAATCATGCGAAGTGGGCAATGTATTTACAATGGTGCCAATGCTTCACGAGTGGTAGCATCTGACTACATGATTCCTGAAAGCACAAAGTGTGCTGGATGTGGGGCATCTCTGTTCCACAAGCCCTTCACTAGGGCAAACCCTGCACTAATTCCATATCCACCTTTCTTCCTTGGGTTCCTCCTTGGCAGCGTGGACATACTGAATTGTCCTCTTGCTGTTCACACACTTCACACTATTGTCACATCCACCCATCCTGCCATTTCTGGATACCTTCCCCCATTTCTAATCTTTACTGCATCTCCTTCCATATTTAACTCACCAAGGTCTCAAATCCATGAAATAAAACTCTATCTGTTGCAAGGTGATTGGGAGAGCAATGGAACTATAGGCCATATTTGGGGTAGCTGAGATCATTTTCAACACTCAATTCAAAAAGTAGCTCACTATTTGCCAAACCTCCTCAATAGCTAACCCTGCATTGAGCGCACAGCATTCGGGACCTCAAGACAGTACAAGGGAGATCTGTATTTGGAACTACTGACTTAAGGCAAAATCTAGAACCATCATTCCTTTCTCCTCCTAGGGAGGAATCAATTTTTTCAAGTAGTCCACCATGTGTGGGCATAAACGTGATTATCCATAGCTCACATAAATACTTCGTTTAATATATATATTCTATGTTTTTAAGACCCAACACATTTATCTCAAATAGAAAATGAGGATACATATATTCTTGTTATTTGAAATTCATGTAGTTTGAAAAGAAGGCATAGAAAATAAACTACATAATTTTGTAAGTCATTAAGATTTTGAAAAAAGGTGAAAGTAAGCCCCTATTTTTGTATGTTATTGTTTTCTACAGAGAGAGAAAAAATGTTTATATTTTGAAAGAAAGGTGCTTTATTAAGAATTACATTTTCAATGAAAATAGAAATATGTGAATAATCACATTAAGACTAAACAGTGGGCCAGACGCAATGGCTCAAGCCTGTAATCCTAGCACTTTGGGAGGCTGAGGCAGGCGGATCATGAGGTCAGGAGATTGAGACCATCCTGGCTAACACGGTGAAACCCCATCTCTACTAAAAATACAAAAAATTAGCCAGGCGTGTGGCAAGGGCCTGTAGTCCCAGCTACTCGGGAGGCTGAGACAGGAGAATGGCGTGAACCTGGGAGGCGGAGCTTGCAGTGAGCCCAGTTTGCGCCACTGCACTCCAGCCTGGGCGACAGAGTGAGACTCCGTTTCAAAAAAAACAAAAAAGACTAAACAACGATGCCATAAAGAATTATTGTCAAGTACTAACTGATACACTGATGCCTTTAAAAGAAAATCCAAAAATTATGACTAAGTATAATTACATTCACATAGAAAATTACATTATGTACATTCACATGTACAATTACATATACATTTTAATATTTTATATTGCACTTGCTTATGAACTCTGATTTTTCAGGTGAGCAGTTGTTAGCTATCTTTAATTTTGTTCCAAAACAATTGATTTTTTAAATTCAAATGCAGGACTTTGTATTTTTTCTATGAAATTATATCTTATCAAAGTGTTGCATTACTCTTGTTAACCTAATATCACAGATGCTGAGAACCTGATGACTTTCAGATTTTTATTCTATGAAAGCCAGAAGATTAATCAACATTTTCAGAAAGAAGATTAAATAACATGGAGAAAGCTTGCTAACTCCCTGGATAAGTAGTAATAGGTTGGTTGATGAAGGATAATAAGAATCTACCTTGTAGCTCCAAGAATCCTTTTGAATAACATTTTTTGTACCTTTTATTTTGATGTACAAGGAAATCCCATTACACTCATTACCCAGATTCTACAAGTATTTACTTTTTTGCCTAATTTCTTTTTTTCTATTTGTGTATGTATATGTACATTTTTTTTTCTGAACCATGACAGTAAGCTGGAGTCAATATGTTTCTTTACCCCTAAAAATTTTAGGGTGATTTGCTTAAGAGCAAGGACATTCTCTTACAGAACGCCTGCATAGTTATCACAATCAAGAAACTTAACTTTGATACCTGAAGATTATGTACCGAATGCTTGTGTCCCCCACACAGATTCATATGTTGAAGTCCTAACCCTCAATGTGATGGTGTTTGGAGATGGGGCCTTTGGGAGGTGGTTAGGCTTAGATGAGGTTATGAGGATGAGGCCCTGGGGCCCTGGTCCAATGAGATTGGTGAACCAGGACTCTCTCTTGCTCTCTCTCTCTCTCTCGTGTGTGTGTGTGTGTGTGTGTGTGTGTGTGCCTGTGCATACAAAGAAGAGGTCATGTGAGCACACAGCAAGATGGTGGCTCTGTAACCCAAAGGAAGAGCCCTCATCAGAAAACAACCAGGCGACACTCTAATCTTAGACTTTTAGCCACCAGAATTGTGAAAAAATGAATTTCTGTTGTTTAAACGACCCAGAATATGGTATTTTGTTGTGGCAGCCCACAGATACTAAGATACCAATCCAGAATTCATATCCAAATTTTTTCAATTGTTCCAATAATGTTCTTTACAGCCATTTTTTCCTTAAGTTGAGGATCCAACCAAGGAACATATATTTTATTTAGTTGTCAAATCTCTTTAATTTCCGTTCATCTAGAAGCTTTCCTCTGTCTTTTAATCCTTCATGAGCTTGACAATTTTGAAGGGTACTTGTCAATTACTTCATAGGATGCTTCTTGCTTTGGGTTTGGTTGATGTTTCCTCATGATTAAATTCAGGTCATTGGCTTTGGCAAGACTTCTGTGGAAGTGATAGCTTGTCCTTCTCTTGATCATATCTGAAAATATTTGATGTTAGTGTGCCCAGTAGTAACAAAGCTTACTTTGGTATACAGCACTTTTTCCACTGAAAAGTTTTTTTGTCTTTGTAATTAATAAAGAATTTGTTTGGGATACTTTAAGCCTATGCAAATATACCAGTTCTTGTCAAGAATTTTATCCACCAGTTTTAGCATCCACCATTTCTTCTACATTAATTGGTTGGCACTCTACTGTCAAGAAAAGCAGCTTTCACTTATCTATTTGCATGTTTTGGAAATTAATATAAGAATGGACTCGTGAATTCTTATTTTATATAATGAATTGTAATTATTACAATTATTATTGTTGTTGTTATATTTTGATGCTGAAATCGTTCTCAAATCTGTCCAGTGGAAGTCCCTTCGAGCTGGTTCCTATGTTCTTTTGACATGGGTCTGTCATTCCTTGGACATCTTCTTACTGTCTGTCACAAAATGTTCCAGGCTCGTCTTGTTCTTTCCTTCCCAAATTCCACAATCAGTCATCTCTCCAAGAAGCCCTGGATCTGATTCCTTTTAGTGGAGATTATGATTATAGATCAAGATCATCTGGGTTCTAGGTGTGTGCTTTGCTATAGGTACAGCATTGTTTCAAGGTCTCTAGGCAGACAGAGGTAGGCTACTTGTGTGCACACACACAGACACCATATATATATTATATATATATATATATACACACACACACACACATACACACACACACACACAAACATATATACACACCACATATATATACACACACACAAACATATAATTAGTTTTATCTATATTGTTCAGAAGTTGAGAGCTAATCTATTTTCTTTCTTCCTTTTCTTTGTTTTTCTTTCCTCTTCTGACTACCATTTTCTCCTTATCTTTTTCCATTCTTCCTTTAATTTTCATTTTTCCCCCATGTCTATTCATAGTCTCCTTACTTATAGTCAAAAGAAAAGGGTCTCTGGATTTTCTGGATACAAAAATCATGTACCTCTCTCTGGCACTGAAGAAAAAATGGGATAGACAGGAGAGGGGCTGCAGACTGAAAGTGTCCCAGGAAGAGATATAGACCTATCAGCCCTCAGCAGCATGCTATGACCTAACAAGCCCCTTATTCTCTAGCCATCAATAAATGCCAGCTTAAAATATACCTTTGGGTGTTGTTTCTGGCAACTGTCCTTTGTAGTATGTCTCAGTCTGGTCAAAATTCACTATAGAGAAATGAGGAGAATCAGGGCTTAATATTTAAAACATCCTAGGCCTAAGCCTTTAAACACTTAAACATCATCTTAAAAATAAATACATAAAAATGAAAAACTTCACAGTTAAAAAATTATACTAAACACTTTAACTTTTAAAAAGATACTTGAATAAAAGATTTATAGGCTAGAGCAGTACTGCAAAAGAAAATATTTGGAGATTCATAATTTGACACAAATTGTTTTTCTACCTTAACTTCTGAAAGATCTAATTAAGGAAGGAGTTTTTCTTTTCTTTTTTTATAAAATAATATGTCCTGACAAACTGCATGAATATAAAATATATATGTTTGGTGTAAGTGTAGGACTCACAAATTAACCTTTCTTGTACAAATGCAGGGTTTGTTAAACAAGAGCTTCCCAATCCAGTACTCTTTTCAAGAATATTCCAGTAAAAAATTCATCTAGGTTGAATTATCTGTCATATTCTTAGCCTTGCAGCTTTTAACAAATCATGGACTCAGAATTTTATAGTCTGAAGAAACCTTCCAAATTACGCATTTCTATCTTCTTCTGATTTCACTTGTAAAGGAATTACTTATTTCAATAATTTTAAAAGGCAGAGACTATTGAGAATTTTACATCACTTTTAATCAAATTCTCTTAGTGCCTATCATATGGTTATACATAAATTAGCTTCCAAATATTCCAATCAAACATTCCTTCAGTTTGAACTCTTACCATGTACCAGGAACTGTGTGACTGTGTGGGTGCTGTGCATGCAGCACTCTGGCTAGTGTGTGGGAAATCAATGGTAGAGGATTGTGGACAGAAGAAGGAAGACCAGTTAGGAGGTGCCTGCAATCATAGCCTAAGAAAGAAATCATTATGATACAGACTAGCAGGATAGGCAAACTGATGCGTTAGTTGGATTTAGATATATGTTATAGAACTCACAGAATAGGCTAACGGAGAGGATATGGAATATGTGAAAAAGAAAGAGGTTAAAGATGGAAATTGCAGGATTGTATTTGTGTTTTAGCCTGAAGTCTAAAGCTGGTCTTTATATCAGGATGGGAAACACTAAGGGAGAATAGGTTTGGGGTGGATTATATCAGGATGGGAAACACTAAGGGAGAATAGGTTTGGGGTGGAAAAGAAATCAAGTGTGTTTTGTGGGTATGATACTTTTGAGATGTGTATTTGATTTCCAAGTGGAGATGTGTAAATATTCCAAGTGGATAACTTATATGGGGTTCACTGGAAAGATCAGGACTGGAGAAATCATCAGCTTATAAATAGGATTTTATAGCCTCAGACTAGGACCCAAAGGCATATTTTTAACCGGCATTTATCTAAGACTTACCGTGTACCAGCAACTGCTCTGAGTGCCTACATGCATTGATACATTTAGCTCTCCCAGCAATCCAACTCAGTCAGGTAGATACCTTTATTATTATTGCTGTTTACAAATAAATAAACTAAGATCAAAGAGAGACTAGGTAATGTGCTCCAGATTGCATTTCTAGTAAATGCCAAAGCAGAATTTGAACCCTAGCAATCTGAGTTTACAGCCCTGCTCCTAACCATTATGTTGCTCCTATTTATGTAATATGACCCTGCTCAAAAGAAACTTGTGATGTAGTTGAACAAATAAAAGTAACGCACATGAAAAACACAAAGATAAGTTAGGTACTAAAATGTCATGGTATTGACTGTGAGTCAAAGAAGTTTGGAATAGGTTTGAACTTCTTAGATAATAGGACATAGCAATAATTAGCTGCTTCATTGTGATTGAATTACACACTGGAGATCTGAAATAATTTAACAGGTTCCATAAATATCCAATTTATAGCCACAAATTAGCTTAGTCATGGGTATTATCATGCTCATAATAGCTAATCATTTAGATATTGTGCACACCTTGCCCTACTGCCAGCAGTTTTGTAAAACCTCACTGTCATTTAAGTCTTTCTTAATCAACCTTCATCAAGTGGCAGTAAAGAGTTCATTTCTAAATGAACCAAAAGGTTCATTTCATTAACCCTTTGTCTTCTAAACAGACAATTATAGTCTATATTCACTTTGTTCTACATTATAAGCAAAAACTTAGAAACTTCGTGGGAATTCCAATTAATTCAACAGAAACTTATTGAGCACCAAATTGAGAGTGGAAATGCACTAAGCCCTGTGAGATTGTTAAAGCCTTTGCTCCAAGATTTTGCCAGCTCTATGCCAAATTATGCTCAATAATCTTTCTCTTTTGAATGTAAGCTGGGATCTCTAACTTACTGACAAGGAAATACTTCTACTTTTCTTACAACAAGATGACCAACTAACTTTTAGATCCCTGCTTTAAAGTATTGCTTTTGCTGACATTAGTGCTGAAAATTTGTGTTGTGAGAAAAAACTCCCTAGAAATCCTTTTCCAGCTCCAAGAATAATTGGAACTGAGCAGTGTCTCCAGCAACAATGAGTGTTTGGTGCTTTAGTTTAGTGTTGAACATGGCCCATGTGCCAAATCCAGCCAATCATCTGTTTTTGTATGACCATAAGTTAAGAATGGTTTTTCCATTTTTAAGTGGTTGAAAAAATAAATAGCATTTCATTACATATGAAAATTTTATGAAATTCACATTTCAGTGTTCATAAATAAAGTTTTTTTGGAACACACCCATTCACTCATATATTTCTCATGGCTATTTTTACACTCTACAATGGTAGACATGAGAATTCTTGACAGAGACCATATTTCTGGTCCTTTATTGGAAAATTTCTCTAATTTTTGAAAACAAGGCTCTGGTCATAACCAATTTTGGCATATAAAATATCTGTTTATTTTTGTACTTCTGTTCTTAAAAATCATAATCCTATATAGCAGAACTAATTCAAAAGTAAGAGGGGAATATTTATCAATGAGTGAGAAAATAGAACTACATTCAAGCAAACCAATCATTCATCATTAAAAAATAAATTTGATCACAGTCTCTGTATAAAGCCAAATCGGATTTACTATTTGGTTGCTTTTTAATGACCTTCCATTTTTTCTTTAAGAGAGTTTATTCCTAAATGTTTTCACATGGGGAACTCCAGGACTCTGTACACATGCATCAGTTTTGGCCATTTTCTGTTGAAGAAAGTAGAGGAAGACTTTTTGATCTGAAAAAAGGAGCTCTTGGGTTTGACAAAAGCAAGAAAATTATTTCACAATTACATATGGCTTTGATTAGTCATAGTTGTCAAAACTCAGCAATGTCTTGTCATTCCTACAACAACTTGATAACTTGGCAAACTAGGTATATTTATCATTAGTTTGAAGTAAGGAAACAGAGACCTAAAGTATCATTGCACTATAATGAAAAAAAAAGAAAAAGCATAGGGCTTAGAGTCAAAACCCCAGTCCCCCATCCCACTCAACTCCCCAAGAACCATGTGTCCCTTATCTAAAAATGGAAGTGAGAACCCTTGACTAACTAACTTCACTGAGATGTTGTAAAGATCAGATGAGATGAATATGAGCATGCTCTGAAAACTCCATAAAATATTTTATTAAAAGGAAAAAGAGGCTTCTCTAGATTCCTCCTCTCTGGGCAGGGCATCTCTAAAAGAAAGGCAGCAACCCCAGTTAGAGGCTTATAGATAAAACTCCCATCGCCCTGGGACGGAGCACCTGCAGGGAGGGGTAGCTGTGGGCACAGCTTCAGCAGACTTAAACGTTCCTGCCTGCTGGCTCTAAGAGAGCAGCGGCTCTCCCAGTACAGCATCCTAGCTCTCCCAGTATAGACTGCCTCCTTAAGTGGGTCACTGACCCCTGTTCCTCCTGACTGGGAGACATCTCCCAGCAGGGGTTGGCAGACACCTCATATAGGATGGCTCTGGCTGGCATCTGGTGGGTGCCCCTCTGGGACAAAGCTTTCAGAGGAAGAAACAGGCAGCAATCTTTGCTGTTCAGCAGCCTCCACTGGTGATACCCATGCAAACAGGGTCTGGAGAGGACTTCCAGCAAACTCCAGCAGACCTGCAGCAGAGGGGCCTGACTGTTAGAAGAAAAACTAACAAAGAGAAAGGAATAGCATTAACATCAACAAAAAAGATGTCCACAGAAACCCCATCCAAAGGTGACCAACAACAAAGACCAAAGGTAGGTAAATCCATGAAGATGAGGAAAAACTAGTGCAAAATGGCTAAAAATTCCAAAAAACAGAAACCTCTTCTCCTCAAAAGGATCACAACTCCTCACCAGCAAGGGAACAAAACTGGACGGAGAGTGAGTTTGATAAACTGACAGAAGTAGTCTTCAGAAGGTGGGTAATAACAAACTGCTCCGAGCTAAAGGAGCATGTTCTAACCCAGTGCAAGGCAACTAAGAACCTTGAAAACAGGTTAGAGGAATTGCTAATTAGAATAACCAGTTTAGAGAAGAACATAAATAACCTGATGGAGCGAAAAACATAGCACAAGAACTTCATGAAGCATACAAAAGTTGTCAGATTCATCAAGGTTGAAATGAAGGAAAAGTTTTAAGGGCAGCTAGAGAAAAAGGTCAGGTTACCCCCAAAGGGGAGTCCCTCAGACTAACAGCAGATCTTTCTGCAGAAACCTTACAAGCCAAAAGATAGTGGGGGCCAATATTCAACATTCTTAAAGAAAAGAATTTTCAACCCAGAATTTCATCTCCAGCCAAACTAAGCTTCATAAGCAGAAGGAGAAATGAAATCCTTTACAAACAAACAAATGGTGACAGATTTTATCACCATCAAGCCTGCCTTACAAGTGCTCCTGAAGGAAGCACTAAATATAGAAAGGAAAAACTGGTACCAGCACCTGCAAAATCATACCAAATTGTAAAGAAAGACCATCAACACTATGTAGAAACTGCATCAATTAATGGACAAAATGACCAGCTGGAATCATAATGACAGGATCAAATTCACACATAACAATATTAACCTTAAATGTAAACAGGCTAAATGCCCCAATTAAATGACACAGATGGGAGAATTGGATAAAGAGTCAAGATCCATCAGAGTCTGTGTTCAGGAGACACATCTCATGTGCAAAGATGCACATAGGTTCAAAATAAAGGGATGGAGGAATATTTACCAAGCAAATGGAAAGCAAAAAAAGCAGGGGTTGCAATCCTAGTCTCTGATAAAACAGACTTTAGGCTGGGCACAGTGGCTCACGCCTATAATCCCAGCACTTTGGGAGGCCAAGGTGGGCAGATCACAAGGTCAAGAGCTACAGACAATTCTGGCCAACATTGTGAAACCCCATCTCTACTAAAAGTACAAAAATTAGCTGGGTGTGGTGGCGTGCACCTGTAGTCCCAGCTACCCGGGAGGCTGAGGCAAGAGAATCACTTGAATGTGGGAGGCGGAGGTTGCAGTAAGCTGAGATCATGCCACTGTACTCCAGCCTGGTGACAGAGCAAGATTCTGTCTCAAAAACAAAACAAACAAACAAACAAAAAACAAAACTAACAAAAAAAAAAAACAGATTTTAAACCAACAGGGATCAAAAAAGACAAAGAAGGGCATTATATAATGGAAAAGGGATCAATGCAACAAGAAGAGCTACCTATCCTAAATATATATGCACCCAATACAGGAGCACCCAGATTCATAAAACAAGCTCTTAGAGACCTATAAGGAGACTTAGACTCCCACAGAATAATAGTGGGAGACATTAACATCCCACTGTCAATATTAGACAGATCAATGAGACAGAAAATTAACAAGGATGTTCAGGACTTGAACTCAGCTCTGGACCAGCAGACCTAATGGTTATCTACAGGACTCTCCACCCCAAATCAACAGAATATACATTCTTCTCAGCGCCACACTGCACTTATTCTAAAATTGACCGCATAATTGGAGGTAAAACACTCCTCAGCAAATGAAAAATACAGAAATCATAACAGTCTTTCAGACCACAGTGAAATTAAATTAGAACTCAGGATTAAGAAACTCACTCAAAACTGCACAACTACAGTTGTGGAAACTGTAGTTGGAAACTGAACAACCTGCTCCTGAATGACTACTGGGTAAAAAATGAAATGAAGGCAGAAATAAAAAAGTTCTTTGAAACTAATGAGAACAAAGACACAACATACCAGAATCTCTGAGACACAGCTAAAGCAGTGTTTAGAGGGAAATTTATAGCTCTAAATGCCCACAGGAGAAAGCAGGAAAGATCTAAAATTGACAACCTAATATTACAATTACAAGAAGTAGAGAAGCAAGAGCAAACAAATTCAAAAGGTAGCAGAAGATAAGAAACAACTAAGATCAGAGCAGAACTGAAGGAGATAGAGACACAAAAAACCCTTCAAAAAAATCAGTGAATCCAGGAGCTGGTTTTTTTTTGGAAAAGATTAACAAAATACATAGACCACTAGCAAGACTAAAAAAGGAAAAAATAGAGAAGAATCAAATAGACACAATAAAATTGATAAAGGGTATATCACCACTGAACCTACAGAAATACAAACTACCATTGAGAATACTATAAACACCTCCACACAAATAAACTAGAAAATCTAGAAGAAATGGATACATACCTGGACACATACGCCCTCTGAAGACTAAACCAAGAAGAAGTCAAATCCCTGAATAGAACAATAACAAGTTCTGAAATTGAGGCAGTAATTAATAGGCTACCAACCAAGCAAAGTCCAGGACCAGACGGATTCACAGACAAATTCTACCAGAGGTACAAAGAGGAGTTGGTACCATTCCTTCTGAAACTATTCGAAACAATAGAAAAAGAGGGACTCCTCCCTAACTCATTTTATGAGGCCAGCATCATCCTGATACCAAAACATGGCAGAGACACAGCAAAAAAAGAAAATTTCAGGCCAATATCCCTGATGAACATCGATACAAAAATCCTCAATAAAATACTGGCAAACCCAATCCAGTGGCACATCAAAAAGCTTATCTACCACGATCAAGTCCACTTCATCACTGGGATGCAAGGCTGGTTCAACGTATGTAAATCAATACACATAATCCATAACATAAACAGAACAAATGACAAAAAACACATGATTATCTCAATAGATGAAGAAAAGGCCTTCAATAAAATTCAACACCCCTTCATGCTACAAACTCTCAATAAACTAGCTATTGATGGAATGTATCTCAAAATAAGAGCTATTTTTGAAAAACCCACAGCCAATATCATATTGAATGGCCAAAAGCTGGAAGCACTCCCTTTGAAAACCAGCACAACACAAGGATGTCCTCTCTCACCACTCCTATTCAACATAGTATTGGAAGTACTGGCCAGGGAAATCAGGCAAGAAAATGAAATTAAGTCTATTCAAATAGGAAGAGAGGAAGTCAAATTGTCTCTGTTTGCAGATGACATGATTGTATATTTAGAAAACCCCATTGTCTCAGCCCAAAATTTCCTTAAGCTGATAAGCAACTTCAGCAAAGTCTCAGAATTCAAAATCAGCGTGCAAAAATCACAAGCATTCCTATACACCAATAATAGACAAACAGAGAGCCAAATCATGAATGAGCTCCAATTCACAGTTGCTACAAAGAGAATAAAATACCTAGGAATTCACCTTATGAGGGATGTGAAGGACATCTTCAAGGAGAACTACAAACCACTGCTCAAGGAAATGAGAGAGGACACAAACAAATGGAAAAACATTCCATGCTCATGGATAGGAAGAATCAATATCATGAAAATGGCCATACTGCCCAAAGTAATTTATAGATTTAATGCTATCCCCATCAAGCTACCCTTGACTTTCTTCACATAATTAGAAAAAAACTACTTTAAATTATATGCAAAACCATAAAAGAGCCCATATAGCCAAGACAATCCTAAGCAAAAAGAACAAAGCTGGAGGCATCACGCTACCTGACTTCAAACTGTGCTACAAGGCTACAGTAACCAAAACAGCATGGCACTGCTACCAAAACAGATATATAGACCAATGGAACAGAACAGAGGCCTCAGAAATAACGGCACACATCTACAACCATCTGATCTTTGACAAACCTGACAAAAACAAGCAATGGGGAAAGGATTCCCTATTTAATGAATGGTGTTGGAAAACTGGCTAGCCATATGCAGAAAACTGAAACTGGATCCCTTCCCTTACACCTTATACAAAAATTAACTCAAGATGGATTAAAGTCTTAAAGGTGTAAGACCTAAAAACCATAAAAACCCTAGAAGAAAACTCAGGCAATACAATTCAGGACACACGCATTGGCAAAGACTTCATGAATAAAACACCAAAAGCAATTGCAACAAAAACCAAAATTGACAAATGGGATCTAATTAAACTAAAGAGCTTCTGCACAGCAAAGGAAGCTATCATCAGAGTGAACAGGCAACCTACAGAATGGGAGAAAATTTTTGGAATCTATTCATCTGACAAAGGGCTAATATCCAGAATCTACAAAGAACTTAAACAAATTTACAAGAAAAAGAACAACTTCATCAATAAGTGGGGGAAGGATATGAACAGACACTTCTTAAAAGAAGACATTTATGTGGTCAACAAATATATGAAAAACAGTTCATCATCACTGGTCATTAGAGAAATGCAAATCAAAAACAAAATGAGATGCCATCTCATGCCAGTTAGAATGGCCATCAGTAAAAAGCCAGGAAACAACAGATGCTGGAGAGGATGTGGAGAAATATGAACACTTTTATACTGTTGGTGGGAGTGTAAATTAGTTCAAGCACTGTGGAAGACAGTGTGATGATTCCTCAAGGATCTAGAACCAGAAATATCATTTGACACAGTAATCCCATTACTGGGCATATACCCAAAGGATTATAAATTATTCTACTATAAAGACACATGCACACATATGTTTATCGTAGCACTATTCACAATAGCAAAGACTTGGAATCAACCCAAATGCCCATCAATGATAGACTGCATATGGAAAATGTGGCACATATATACCAATGGAATACTATGCAGCCTTAAAAAAGAATGAGTTCATATCCTTTGCAGATACATGGATGAAGCTGGAAATCATCATTCTCAGCAAACCAGCCCAGGAACAGAAAACCAAACACTGAATGTTCTCACTCATAAGTGGGAGTTGAATAATGAGAGCACATGGACACAGCAAGGGGAACATCACACACTGGGGCCTGTTGCAGGGTAGGGGGCTAGTGGAGGGATAGCATTAAGAGAAATACCTAGTGTAGATGACAGGTTGATGGGTGCAGCAAACCACCACGGCACATGCATACCTATGTAACAAATCTGCACGTTCTGCCCATGTATCCCAGAACTTAAAGTATAATAAAAAAGCAATAAAAAAAATAAATACATAAAAATTAACCAAAGAAGAAAAGGAAAAGAAAGATTAAAAAAAAAATAAGACGAGTGAATTGCTTAGATCAAGTTACTCTTGGATAGCTAGCAGGGTTCACCTGCCCTCTAGTCATATATTCATTCCATTAACAAAGGCTAACAGAAGTGAAAATGAGAACTATTTGCCATGGAGGCTCATGCCTTTGGCTATCAAATGTTTTAAGCTTAGTTAGGATAAATTTCACACCAGAAGGACCTGTGATTCACAATTGCGTTGCTCTCATCTATTTCCTCTAGTAAATAGAGAGACAAAAACTGTACACTCACTGTAACAAAATGCCATCCATTTAAGACTTTCTTTTATAGCATGGCTGCTAATATTGTGTCAATGCACCAGTGTTCCAGATGTCACCCAATGGATGTATTTTTAAATAAATTGCAAATTTACCCTACTGAATAATATAACTGATAAAACCACCATATCTTTGGACTTCAATAAAGTGTTTGTGTGATAGTGTTGTTCTTCATTACATGCCTGAATGCACTCATTAAGCTCAGAGTGAACAATAAGCATAAAGAAGCACAAAGAGGGTGAGACTGAACCTGCAGGAAGCATGCATTTCAAGCACCCCAGGATCTGGCAGTTCTGTTCCTTGAGAAGGAGAATGTTCCAAGCACCACATCCACATTTCATATTCAAGACATGATTTAGCTTTTTGCTTTTTAGTGAGAAATGAAAGCTGCATATCCTTGGTTATCAACATAAAACTGAGATGGGAAGATTTTTAAATTGAGTATTGTCCATTTTTCAAGTTATTGACACTTTTTGCCTGCATTACTTAAAACTTTAAGCTTATTTTCAATCTCGTTTTTCCTCAGGCTGTATATGCCTTGGTCTTAAAATAGCACCGTATTCCTAAGGAACTTCTGAGGCATTTTCATTCTCTCCTTGCTATCTGATAGCAAAGGATGCACCCAGCCAGTGTGACAAAGGCTCCTCCCAAGTTCTATAAGCTTCATTCTGGTCATAGAGACAGTTTCTGTGCCTGATTTGGCTATTATAGTGAATTCAAGCAAGAATTTATCTTTCAGGGTTCTCAGGGTTTAAACAAACAAACATTCACTAAGTCATTCACCCAATGTGTACAGAGCCTGGAATATCCTGTGTTCAGGGGATTAAAGTGGGGATATTATTTTGGGGATAAAGACAAAATTCCTGTTCCTATGGTGCTCACACTGGTGTAGATGGGAGTGGGGAGACAAGCAACAAACAGAGTATCTAGCATAATGGGTTTCTTTGTAATATCCTATCGTAAAATGTGGTATTGTCAAATGCCAGGAGAAAATATTATATGATAAGAAAGCAAAGTGGTAGACTGAGTTAGCAATACCCTATATAGAGTCCTCTGCTCAACTTTAATAATGTTCCCCAGCACTTCTGGTTCTCTTTTTCAACAAACACAGGAGGGTTAGATTACTCACACTTTAAAAATTGGATGTGACCATATGACTTACTTTGGCCAGTGAAATATGAATAGAAATGATGTATCGCTGTCAGGCTGAGGAATTTAGGAGCCAGTGTGCAGTTCTCTAAGGTGTTTCCCCATGCTGTGTCAAAGCTTTCAGTCCCATAGTGGTATTACCACTTCTGGTTTCTAGTCCAGCAGGAAAGGATCTTGAAAGTCATTCCTCCTGTCCACTCGGCAAGAAGAAAGCTGACCAAACTAAAAATCAACAACTATTTTTAGATCCTTCAGAAAACTGAGGTCACAGGGCAAATCCCTGTCCCCAGAACCAGAGAGACCGATAGGTGACACAGAGAACCACAACTTACAGAAGGTGTAGAAATCTCCATGGGAACCAGTACTGGGGCAGGGAAACCGAAATGGTAATTGATGGAATTGCTGGAGGCACAACGTAAGCAAGTTTTAGAGTTAAAAACTCCAGCGAAGCTCAATCTTAGGGGCACTCCACATTTCAGGGAATTTCACCTACAGGACTCACCAGGTTTTCACAGAGAATATCTAAGAAAAATCCTCTGGTACTTCCTGCATAGGAAGAAGAGAGTAGCTATTTTGAAATATACTCAGAGCCTTCTGTTCTCATTAACAAGGCATGCCCTCAAGAGAACATATTTTACCAGGGCCTAACTGACTAAGGTTTTACCAGAATCTAACTGACCTGGAAAAATGGAAATACCCAACCCCAGACCCCTTTATCTTTCCCACATCAACTAAAAGGAAGGGAGACTGGGAAGCACTTGCACAGGCACGAGCTCACTAAAGGACTGAGACCAAAGCATAGAGTTAGAGAATGCTTCCTCTCTCCACACACCTTACCATCATATCAATAGGGCTGCCATATAACACAGGGGAATACAATGGAAAGAACTGCATGCTTCTGACCTTATTTTAGAAGTTTCTAAGGAAACGCAAAGGCAACAGGGGAGAGAAAATGAGAACAAAGGAAATTTGAGCCTCCGACACTTGCAGTTACAGCCAACAGTAAATACAATCTACCTCTTAACTAGATAAACCTTTCACTAAAAGTGAGTTAACCTCACTGCCTTTTAGTCAGTACATCATGTCTAGCTTACAACAAAAAAAAAATCGCAAGGCTTGCTAAAACAGTTTGAAGAGACCAAACAAGCATCAGAACAGATGCAGACATGGCAGGGATGTAGGAATATCAGACTAGGAATTTAAAACTTTGATTTATATGCTGAGGGCTATAAGGGAAAAAAGTGTACAACCTGCAAGAACATATGGATAATAAAAGCAGAGAGATGGGAACTCTAAGAAAAAATGTAAAGTAAATGCTAGAGATCAAAAATACTATAATAAATGAAAATGTCTTTTATGAGCTCATCAATGGACTGGATATGTCCAAGGAAAGAATCATGAGCAGGAAGAAAGTGTCAAAAGAAACTTCTAAAAGTAAAATACAGAAAGAAAAAAGAGTAGAAAAAGATGGAACAGAATATCCAAGAATTGTTAAACTATTACAAAATGTATCATATATGCATCATGGGAATATGAGAAAGAGAATAGAGAGAACAGAAGAAAAAATCTAGGTAACAATGACTAAGAGTTTTCCTAAACAAATGATAGGCACAAAATCAAAGATCTAGAAAACTCAGAGAATACCAAGCAGGAGAATACACACACACACACACACACACCCCTATATCTGTGTGTGTGTGTGTGTATGTGTGTGTATTCACATATCATATTCAAACTGCAGAAAATCAAAGACAAAGAAAAAATCTTGAGAGAAGCCAAAGAGAAAAACATCCTATCTGTAGAGGATCAAGGGCAATAATCATATTGGACTTATTTTCAGAAACCACATAGGCATTAAGCAAGAAGAGACTGGAGTGTTGGAGAAAAACTCTAGAATTCTGTATTTTATCAAACTATCATTCAAAAGTGAAGGAGAAATGAGGACTTTCTCAGACAAACAAAAATTGAGGAAAATTTTCACCAGTAGACCTACTTTCCAATGAATATAAAACAGAAATTTTTCAGAAAGAAGGAAAAGAATATGTCAGAAACTCAGATCTACATAAAAAAGGAAGCACATTAGAGAAGTAATAAAGGTACAATAAAATATTTTATTTTGAATTTAACAAAAAAAGCTTGTTTAAAACAATATCTACCATATATTTAGTAATTATAGCTTATAGATAAATGAATGGCAGTAATATTACAGAGTGGGAGGCAGAACTTGAGAATATTTTGCTATAAAGTACTTGTACTGCCCATGAAGTGACACACTGTTATTTAAAAGTGGACTTGTATTAGTTATAACTGTATACTGCAAACTCAAGGAAAATTACTAAAGAAAGTTAAAAAATAATAAAATTGATATGCTGAGAAAATCATATACTAAAAGCAGAGAAGGCAGAAGAAGACACAAGACAAATATAAAAAAGGGAAAGAAACAGAACAAAGTCAAAAATAGACAATAGTAACAAACATAGTGGATATTAATTCAATTATACCAATAATTGCTTTAAATGTCAGTGATCTAAATATAACAATTAAAAGACCGAAACTGTCAGATTTTAAAAAGGAAAAACCAAACTATTTGTTGTCTATAAGAAATCCACTTTCAATATAAAGACACAAATAGATTAAATGTAATGGGATCCAGGAGAGTAAAGGGATAGAGAAATATATACTATGCTAACATTAATTTTAAAAATCCGTTACAAGATGGGAAGCCTCAATCAGCCTGGGACCCTTGTTCCTGTGATAAGGAGAGCCATCTTGTTGATCTATACTAAACATATAGGAAAAAGGAATAACAAACTTTTGTTATTTTAAGTCATTGAGATTTGGGGATTATTTATTGGCACAACAAAACCCCCACCTATCCTGACTAGACAAGTTAGCTTATTCTCACTAATCTGAATGATGTGTGATAGGAAGCCATGTGGATGCCCTGGCGCAGGGGGCTTCAGGAATAGGAAACAGTAAGAACAGAGGCCCTTAGGCAAGAGCACACCACAGTGTTCTAAGAGCTGTGAGAGCAGTATGGCTAAAGCTGCGTGAACAATGGACAGAACAGAAGATGATGACAAAGAGAAGGCCAGATCCCAGAATAAAATCCAAAATCCTTACTAAAGCCATGCATATATTCTTCTGTTAGAGATAGAAGTATATTATTTTTCTACATAACAAATTACTACAAACATAAAAGCTTAAACCAACATAAATTAACTTACAGTTCCTATGGGTCAGGAATCTAGCATGGCATTGCAAGGCTCTCTGTTCAGAGTCTGGCCAGGCTACAAGCCAGGTGTTGGCAGGGACTATGCTCTCATCTGAGGCTTGGGGTGCTCTTTCATCTTATTCAGGTCATTGGTAGAATTCATTTCCCTGTGGTTGTAGGCCTGAGGTCTCCATCTTTTTGTTGGATGTCAGCCAAGGATCACTCACAGCTCCTAGAGGCTACTCTCAGATCTTTGCCAACTGTCCCCTCCTTCCCTCCTTCCATCAACATGGCTGCTTTCTTCCAGGACACCAGGGGAACATCTTGCTGACAACAAATCTCTCTGACCTCCAGGAAGACCTGGATCTCTCTGAAGGGCTCATTCGATTAGCTCAGGCCTGCTCAGGATAATGCCCCTTTTAATTAGCTGAAGGCAAGGTTTGAATTGGGACCTTAATTACATTTACAAAATCCATTTTGTGATATACTGTAACAATCTTGAGTGAAATCCCATCATATTTGCAAGTCCCATTAACGTTCAAGAGGTTATTCTTCCAAATAATTATACAAGATGTTTTACATGAGGGTGTAGAAATCTGAGGGCCATCTTTGAATTCTGCATACCACAGGACATCATTTGATGATTCAGAGCAGCAAAGAACATGGTCTGGATTCATTTGTGCTTTAAATTAATCCCCCTGGCTGCTGGGTGAAGAAGTCTGTAATGTGACCTGGGTATAAACAAGGAGACTAACAGGAGATGATTACAATTGTCAGGAAAGAGATGATAGTAGCTTAAGCTAAGGCTTAGCAAATGAGATGATAGCATGGATTAAAGCCAAATATTTATATGGATTATAGTTTTCAGTATGCACCAATCAAATAATCAATAGTTAAATATTATATGCTCCAGGTTAAAAAATAATGTCAAATAAGCAACTTTGTTTTCATTTACTTGTATAATCCCCCAAAAATGTTAAAATTTAATGAACAATTCTTAGCCCATTGGGCTATGACTATCTATATCATCAAAGTATCTAAAAAGTAAAGGCTGAGGGGCTAAAACTTAGAGATTGGGCACCCCCATTTGCCTAGTTTATTTTGACTAACATAGGCTTAATGTATGCTGTGAGTCATATGGAATCAGGTTTTCTTTCTCCTTTACAGTGGGAATCATGAAGCCATTTTCAAACTTTTTGTAATAGGAGACATGGTGGGAAGGTATGATCTTATGACGGTTTTGAAATAAAATGGTAATATTACTAGTTACTCAAATGAGGAAACTCCTTCCCCCATACTCCCTTTTCCCATGAAAATATCATGGAGGTGGAAAGACCAGGAAGTCTAATGCCAATGATGCTGGACAGCTTTCCAGGTGGCTGGGACCCAATCCAGTTCTCTTCCCTTTTTCTCATGTAGTTCTCAAGAATAACTGCAGTATGTGCTGCGAATGCAAAATCCTGAGATAAGGAGGAAATTGGCTGGAACAGTCTGGGCTCTGTTCCAGTTCCCCACTACCCCCAACCCTGAAACAGGATGTCCTTCAATGCTTTAGCCCAGCATGTCATGTTACCCAGGATGGGCTGCTTTTTGGGGACCACCAGCTGTGATGCAAGTGGGGCACATGCCGTAAAAACTCCATCTACCCCAGGTAGCTTTCCTGAGGCTTATGGGATTAGCTGGCAATGAATACTGGAATTCTTTTGTCTCTTGCTGCCCATCTATACTTAATAAACCCACTTCATGCAGCTTGCTGTGTGTGTGGGTATTGGGCCTCACCAGACTCAGACAAGTTGGTAACCAGTGCACAGTGAACCTGCTTCATAAACGTGCCTACATATATCAGTAGAGCAAACACACTGATAAATCCTAAAGCAAAAATTTTGTTCATTTAGCTCATAATTGCCCAAATATTTGACAATCAATTTTTTTTACTTTACATCTATTAAAATTCCACATATCATGAGAGATTTCTCCAAATTTTTTGCTGGGCATTTTTATTTCATGTGCCATCTTTTTACTTATTTAGGCAATGTAGACAATTTGGCTAGAGCTTAAAAATAGCTGGAAAGGTTTCTGGAGTAGAGAAAGTTATTGAATTCAGAACAGTTAGGAGAGAACTTAGCTATTCAAGGGCAAGAAAATGGAGTCCAACAAAGGTAGAAATAGGCAAAAATACATCTATCCAGAACAAAAGGAATATTTACCTTGGGAAAATGCTCTCATAACTGGATATTAGCCTTCTCTTTTTGATGGCTAACTACTGTACTTTAAAGTCTTCTCTTTTGGATGATTGGAATAATTATGGCTACTGCATCTTTATGATGAGGAAATGGCTCCTGGAAAATTAAAGATGGACAGTTAGCAAGCTGCATGATCCTAATTAATTAAAGCCTGTCTTCTGATTAAACACATTTTCCAGCAGTAGGAGGATCTCTGGCTAGTTGCCTGATAGGAAAGTGCTGTTCTAAAGCATGAGTCACATACCAAATGTTCTCAACAGCACCATCAATCCTGTATTGATTCACAATATTTATTTTTATAGAAACAACCAAAAATTAAATGGAACGCTTTTCCTCATGTACAGGATACCTCCTAAAAATATGTTATTCTATTTTCTTGTAGAATATATTGGTGATCTTTGTCACAGCTGAGCATCAAATTATGAATCTAAGCATTAATTAACCATTTTTCCATGACTCATCTTTTTTTTTTTGCCATTACAAGAATGACTTTGTCCTCACTGCTCCATTCTAAGACAATACTATGCAGCTTGAATTTTTAAACTTTTAAATCCTGAAAGTTATTGTTTCAGTTTTCACTTGTCCTACTGCTGCAATCAAATGAAGTTAAAATTGCAAATACTTATCAGTAGCTTTGACATGAAACTATCATTTGGTTATTAAACATTCATAGCACCGTGCTTTTCTACTCATTGCCTATTTATCCACATACAAGGCACAAAGATTCAAACTCTCTTGATAACAAACATTCTGAAATAATTTATTCTCCACCACTAGCTTTGTCTCCATTATACCCTTCACTTTCCCAAGGTGAATGTGGGCTGGTCCCAAGTCAGGGCCAGCCATTGCTCCCCTCATCCTCCTGTAGAAA
The DNA here is from genome assembly GCF_000001405.40 of Homo sapiens. Taxonomy (NCBI): domain Eukaryota; kingdom Metazoa; phylum Chordata; class Mammalia; order Primates; family Hominidae; genus Homo; species Homo sapiens. The sequence goes on along the minus strand of NC_000002.12, from coordinate 149,826,262 downwards.
CATTCTGCTAACATCTCTTAATTATATAGTGTCCTAAGCCCAGCTTAGCTCATCCAAGAGCTGGCTAAATTTTCCTTACTGCAAGTCACACTACCTACATAGTTGACCAAAGAGTTCATAAAAGAACTGAATCCCAAAGCTATTATTTCTCCTTTCCGATTATGAGAGAAATTACAATGTTAGTTTCACAGCATTTTCCATTTAAGAAAGGGAAACTAGACCCACTCTCCTGAGGGTCCAACTTTGTGCCCAGCCTGATCCCGCTGGGCTATTGCCTAAAAACCAAGTGGACATATATGTGTGCATTTGTGCAAGAGGGAGAGAGTTCTTAATGCTGTGGAGAAATATGGTTTCTGACTTACTAGGAAAATTGACCTGTTCTCATGTTCCTTTGTAATTACACATGTAAGATTCTCATGCTTCTCCGTTTTTCTCCTCTAGCAATTATAGTCTAAGAAGAAACTTTTCAGTTATATAAAAATCACCACCTGCTTTAGTTATTTCTGTAGTTGTGACTGAGAATCTCACCATCAATGTAAGGTAATGAGATTGAACTGTACTAAGTATGTTGCATAAGCCCACACCCTAGTATATTAGTCCATTCTCACGCTGCTATAAGGACATGCTGAGACTGGGTAATTTATACAGGAAAGAGGTTTAATTGACTCACAGTTCCACAGGGCTGGGCAGGCCTCAGGAAACTTACAATCACGGCAGAAAGGGAAGCAAATATGTCCTTCACAAAGTGGCAGGGGAGAGAAGAATGAGTACCCAGCAAACGGGGAAGACTCTTATAAAACCATCAGATCTTGTGAGAACTAACTCACTATCACAAGAACAGGATGGGGAAAACTGCTATCATGATTCAATTATCGCCACCTGGTCCCTCCCACAACACGTGGGGATTTTGGAAACTGCAATTCAAGAAGAGATTTAGGTGGGGACACAGCCAAACCACATAGTCTGCATCTCTATGCTGCCTTTTGTTTTATTTTAAAAGTTAACATTCTTCCTTTTAGAAAGATAAATCAAATAAAACAGCACAGCTTTAATAAAATATGAACCTACCCATACATTGTGATTCTGAACAAAGGTGTGTATTTGACAGACTTACAGTTTACTTCAGGCCCATTATCTGTTGTTCAGCTACATAGGCAAGGGCCCTTGCTAACTATATATCCAAATTGACTTGTTTCTTTTAGATAAGAATATCAATCAGCTAAGTGATTTGCCTGAAATTCCACAGAAGAATAAGGACAAAGCAGGGTTGTAAAGCAATTTCCCTCACAATAGTTTATTTAATATTCAAATATCTGATCAATCTCTCACCAGGAGCCAATGAAGTACCTACCTGAGAGCAAGTAAAGAATCAAATATAGAAAATGAGCACATTAATTTAGAAAAATGGCTATAGTAATTTATCTATTATTTTGGCTATTTACTGTTTGTCTATAGATATAGTTTGTTATGCCATACTATATTGTAATTTTCTGATCCGTTAAGAGATAAAGTCCCTTAGACAAAAAGATGGCATGGCCTTGTTAGATCCCAGGGAACTTAGCAAAAACTCCCATTCTTCCCCAAGGTGATTCTCTGGTATTAGTAAATTGAATTTTTATAACATACTTCATGGGTTGCTTTGCAGCAGTTCACTAAGCAACAACACAGGTAATAGAGATGGAACCAACGGTCAAATCACAAGTGATAACAAGATGCTGTGTCCTTTCAAAACAAATGTGTGGGATTTTTAACATATTTTTCAGTCACCATTCTTGGTTTAATTTCCTGGATTCAAACACATCATATTGACAATTCCTCAAACCTTGTTCAAGTAGCAGATAATCTTACTGAACAGCAAATATTTTGTTTTCTGCATTTGATGTTCTAGTCTAATGAAGTGTGACATATTATTCTGGTGATGTCAAGTCTGTGGAATACAGGGTGATATTTTTCTATTTAATGGCAAATGAAATAGCATTAATGTGATTGTTTATTTGCAACATTTTTTCTCTGAACAAGATTCCTTACTTGCTTACTCAGGGTGATAAGGTTTTTTTAAAGACATTCTATCAGAATTATAAGCAGTAAGAAATGACCTGCAGGAAGGCACCAGAGTGGGTGCTGTGCAGAAAAGAGACATTAACAAGAGTTTCATGTGGAGAAAATGTCATCAATTCTTCCCACCTCCTTGTACTTACAGCTTTTGTCATGTAATGTACAGTACTCACCTTCCATGAGGGGGCTTTTACCACATGACTTGCTTTGGCCAATGCAATACAGATAGAGGCTTAAAATGAGATTGCACATCTGGGGTTGCCTTCTTGTCCTCCATTATTGCCAAGACAAAATTTGCATTGACTAGCCTTCTGGTCTTAGGAGGAAGACCAAAGTAACGTGGAACAGAGTCAGCTCACAGATACATGAGTGAGCTGTTGAACAGCAGACATTTAGGTGGGCCCAGTCAGCAGTCAGCTGACTCCACAAATATGTGCAAAAGCCCAGCCAGGATGAGCACAGGTGCCTAGTCTATTCCTGCTGATTCCAGAAACATGAACAAGAGTGCCTTTTTTGGTATATCACTGAAGATTTCTGGTTATTCATGACATAACATAATTGTGGCAACAGCTGAATGATCTACCTGTGGATCTCTTTGTCCCTCTTTGATATGGTGTGGCTGTGTCCCCACCCAAATCTCATCTTGAATTGTAGCTCCCGTAACTCCCACGTGTTGTGGGAGGGACTCATTTGGGAGATAATTGAATCATGGGATCAGTTTTCCCCATACTGTTCTCATGGTAGTCATCGAGATCTGATGGTTTTATAAGGGGTTTCCCCTTTTGCTTGGCTCACATTCTCTCTTGCCTGCAACCATGTAAGATGTGCCTTTCACCTTCTGCCATGATTATGAGGCCTCCTCAGCCACATGAGTCCATTAACCCTCTCTTTCTTTATAAATTGCCCAGTCTCAGGTATATTTTTATTAGCAGCATGAGAACTAATACACTCCCCAACCCATTGGCAAGGCATAACTTGGGCGCCACTCTCAGAGATCTTACAATGAAACACGAAAGAGGACTGTTATTCAGTAGTGGCCATGTTTACATAAGAAAAACAAAGCATGGTCTATGTCTTCAAGATGTTTATAATTGCGCTGATAAAGAAAATCTACATACTGGCAACAAAAGGTAATTTTGATCAGTGTATCTTGACTAGTGGCTTAAATTGGCTTTGCTGAAGAACCTTATCAAAATGTGCATGTTTTGGTGCCAGGCAGGACTCACTGAATCTAAAAATTCTAGGGGTTTGGCCTAGGGATATATATTTTGGAAAAGCAACCCAGGGAATTCTAATGTCTTTGCCTAGTTAACAATCGATGGTAAAGACTAAATAAAGCAAATAGGATATTTGTGCATAAGTGCAAACGAGTGATGGAGAAACATGAGGTTAGTAGAGTCCAGAGTTGTCTGTCCTGAAGGGCTTAGAAAGGTGGGATCTGCACAGTCCTTGAAGAAGATTTAAATAAATAGAAAGAGAGTTGGGGAACCAGGCAGAGAGAATATCACAAACTCTAGCATGTGGATTATAATTAATATGACATGACTACAACAGAGATTGACTTATTTATGAATGTATTTATTTATTCTGTAAGCATTTCTTTAGTATTTACTGTGTGTCAAACATTAGTCTGAGTTTTTAATAAATATTATCATAACAAAACTATGAGATAAGCAGTAGTATCAGTCTCACTCCGTAGAATAAGCCGACCAGAGTGGAAGAACTCATATACTCTCTAGTGATGTATCTCACTCAGAATTTTGTATTTGATGGAAAAACTGTTAATGCCAAGAAACATTTTTCTTGGCAAAGAAGTCTACAGACTTCAATGTTGCAGTCCACTACCTTGAAACTAGATCTTACTATTATTATTAGTTTGTTCGAATGTATATGGCTTACAAAAGGAGACGGATAAAAGCTAAGGAAGAGAATAAAACCATTTTTTTTATACTTTAAGTTTTAGGGTACATGTGCACAATGTGCAGGTTTGTTACGTATGTATACATGTGCCATGTTGGTGTGCTGCACCCATTAACTCGTCATTTAACATTAGGTATATCTCCTAATGCTATCCCTCCCCCCTCCCCCCACCCTACAACAGGCCCCTGTGTGTGATGTTCCCCTTCCTGTGTCCATGTGTTCTCAGTGTTTAATTCCCACCTATGAGTGAGAACATGCAGTGTTTGGTTTTTTGTCCTTGCAATAGTTTGCTGAGAATGATGGTTTCCAGCTTCTTCCATGTCCCTACAAAGGACATGATCTCATCATTTTTTATGGCTGCATAGTATTCCATGGTGTATATGTGCCACATTTTCTTAATCCATTCTATCATTGTCGGACACTTGGGTTGGTTCTAAGTCTTTGCTATTGTGAATAGTGCCGCAATAAACATACGTGTACATGTGTCTTTATAGCAGCATGATTTATAATCCTTTGGGTATATACCCAGTAATGGGATGGCTGGGTCAGATGGTATTTCTAGTTCTAGATCCCTGAGGAATCGCCACGCTGACTTCCACAATGGTTGAACTAGTTTACAGTCCCACCAACAGTGTAAAAGTGTTCCTATTTCTCCACATCCTCTCCAGCACCTGTCGTTTCCTGACTTTTTAATGATTGCCATTCTAACTGGTGTGAAATGGTATCTCATTGTGGTTTTGATTTGCATTTCTCTGATGGCCAGTGATGATGAGCATTTTTTCATGTGTCTGTTGGCTGCATAAATGTCTTCTTTTGAGAAGTGTCTGTTCATATCCTTTGCCCACTTGTTGATGGGGTTGTTTTTTTCTTGTAAATTTGTTTGAGTTCATTGTAGATTCTGGATATTAGCCCTTTGTCAGACGAGTAGATTGCAAAAATTTTCTCCCATTCTGTAGGTTGCCTGTTCACTCTGATGGTACTTTCTTTTGCTGTGCAGAAGCTCTTTAGTTTAATTAGATCCCATTTGTCAATTTTGTCTTGTGTTGCCATTGCTTTTGGTGTTTTAGACATGAAGTCCTTGCCCATGCCTATGTCCTGAATGGTATTTCCTAGGTTTTCTTCTAGGGTTCTCATGGCTTTAGGTCTAACATTTAAGTCTTTAATCCATCTCGAATTAATTTTCGTATAAGGTATAAGGAAGGGATCCAGTTTCAGCTTTCTACATATGCCTAGCCAGTTTTCCCAGCACCATTTATCAATCCTAAGACAAAAGAACAAAGCTGGAGGCATCACATAACCAAAACAGCATGGTACTGGTACCAAAACAGAGATGTAGACCAATGGAACAGAACAGAGCCCTCAGAAATAATGCCACATATCTATATCTGATCTTTGACAAACCTGACAAAAACAAGAAATGGAGAAAGGATTCCCTATAGAATAAAACCATTTTAAATATCACTGTGGTTAGAATCTTTCCTTACTATAATTCTACTCAAAATAGTTTGATTCTGATAAACAAGATCCCTCTTCCTAGAAAAGGTATTCATGCTTTACTCCATCTATAAAGGCATGAGGCACAGACTTCTCTTAGTGAAAAAAATCAGGTGTTCTGTCTGAATAGGAAGCACTTCTAAGCAAGGTAATTATCTAAGGAAAGAACTGTTCAATAAGTCTCCAAAGCTCCACATTGAATTTGAGGAAATCCAGCCAAGGCTTAATTTTAATCATTCAAACTTCATAAAAACTGTATATCATATTTTATAGGATACATCTTTTCTTATTAAACTAATAAGAGGTATATTTTTCCTAAAAATAAGTACTGAAAGTCATTCCAACCTTATGTTTTTCATTCTGGAAATCTCTAGACAGGTTACATTATATTAAGAAGGTAACAAATCCAGACGTATTTCATATATATTTCTTTATTTTTCAGAATACTTTCTAACTCCTTCAGGTCTATCTAATTGATTCCTATCTAGAAGTAAATATCTAAGAATCATCGAATTACAAACTTATATTAGTGGATATAACATAAGTTTATAGTGCTGGAATTACCATCTGTGAAGATCAATTGGATTCTAAGTAGAATTATATTTAGACTGCTTAAACAAATACCTCTGTAACTTTTCTTCAAACATCTTCAGAAGGAAAAAAAATTCAACACAGTTTCTGCAGTAATACATTCTCTAGGTTTTATGTTCAGCTAAGAGATGCTGTATTAAAAAGTAGGTGAATAAAACCTATTGTTTACCTCTTAATAATTTGAGACTACGAGCTTGTTGTAATCTAATCAAAGGAATCAAGCTAATCAAGTAATACAGTGCTTTTTTATTAGCAATTATCAGTTTATTTTTTCAGGAGGATACCATGAATATGAATAAAAGATTATTTGTCTTGATTGCTTGACCCATATCTTCGCCTTTGTCCTGTTTGCTTATAGAACCATTTCTCACTCTTCCCCTGCTCTGTTCTGTTGTCACCACACGGTCGACCCCAGCAAGACTGTGTGTGTGCTAGTTTCTTGCCAGACTTGGTCTAAAGGAGGTACTGGAAATGGATTGGGAGTCAGGGAAGGGGATGATGGGAAGATGGGAGAAATCAGGATATTTTCCTCTCTCCATTCCCAAGAAGAAATTCTGGAGACCTGCATTGCTTCAGATTCTACTAGACAGGTTTGCCAGATGGCTTGGGCACCTGGATTCTGGTAAACCACCCCCTCCCTGCATTTTCACCCTTCAAACCTAGGTGTGGTAGCTACTTCCTGCTGCTGCAAATTCTTGGGTTTCCTCTGTTCTTTGTTTGGCTTTCTAGCTCTTTTTTCACCTGTGTTACTAATTGCCTGGAAAAAAGTCCTCTATTTGAGATACCTAGAGTACTGTGTGTTTTCCTGACTAGACTCTGACTACTGCTACAAATGATAAATAACCTCTTCCCCAAAGGGATTTGCAGCAGCTTACAATAAAGGCAAGGACCATTCTACCAAAAAAATTGAAATATATTTAAGTCAAGAGGTAAATGTGGTGACTGAAAGGCAGACATATATAAGGCTTGAAATTTGTAAATTAAATGGGTTTTGTTTGTAATGGGCATTTTTAACTCTGAATCTACTAGTTAATAAAAATAATTTAAAATTTTAAACTCTTAAATTTAAATAATTAAATTTTTAACTCTGAATCTGAATATTTAATGAAAATAGTTCAAATACATTTGTCAGAACAATATGAGATGAAAATATGTTGGTGGAGGGAGAGGCTGTAGGACAGTCAGAGAAGCAGATCATTTAGTACTAGGCTATGATTTGGGCCAGGCCAAGGTCTGCCTAGACTAAGGGCTATCATATGAGTATCCACCATATACATAGGACAAATGCAAGTCACATATACATGCACTCCCATAGGCATTCCCAGTTTTATAAACAATTTCATTTCTGCCTCTTCAAGAAATACATCATAATGTATAATGCATAGTAATTAATGATATTATATGGGTAGCCTTGAATTCTTCTAATTTGTCTTAAAAATTAAATATTCACAACTTTTAATATTTCATTTTGGTAAAGTAATCAGTAGCATCAGAGGTAAGAAGTAATCGAAGACTCATTTATGTAGTATAACATGGAGAATATCCGGCTTGCACTAGTTGTAGGCACCATATAATCATCAGAGTTGTTATCTCACTTTGAACACATAGATGTAACCTGTATGTTTTTTAAACAGCATCATAAAAATAAACTAGAAGTACGATATATTATATGCTAATAGCCATGGTCACATGTGTTTTCAAGAGTAATAACATCTGGAAATGAAATGACCAATAATGCTAAAATGCTCTGCAAACTATCAAAACTTTGCCTTTCTTTTGAGACCTAAACAAATTAATTGTATCAACTATTTGACTAATAAGTTTCAGATTTATTAGTAAGAATATCCACAATGAGTAGATACAAAATGCCTGATTGTATCTCCACAAAAGGGATAACATAATATTTAAAGGACAGGCTGATATAACTTTGTATAATCATGAGTATCTAGTAAATTCTAAATTTCACTGGGTCAGGAAAGAAATCCAATTAGTACTACAAGTGAGTAGCATCCTTAAGTTAAATCTTTTGTAAGTAAGTTATCATTATTGCATTCAAGACTAACATTAGGCAAAGTCTGCCACCTGTCTCAAAAAGGCTTTATGTTATCACAAGTTTGCAAAAATGAAGAACATGCAGGAATCAACAAGAGTATATCCCCACCAATACAGAAATATCATGATTGCATGGTCTGCTGAAGTTTTCCAAATGCTTTCCTTTTGAAATATAAAGTGTAACATTAAAAAACACATTTTCCCATAATGTATTACTTCATTAAGGTGAAAGTTTCATGAAAGTAGAAATATTTTTATCTTGGTCATTTTTCTCACTGTTTCTGCCCCTTGCAAGGTGCTTAATAAATATTTGTTGCATGAAATAAATATATGAATTAGTTAATACTGTTCTTATTTTAATGTCTCAGGTGTTAAGTGACTATAAAAATGGCTGATAAGATTATCATTTTAAATTAGAATGTATTATAAAAAATCAAATCCAGCTTCATCAGAGACCATTATGAAGGCTGAGTCACCTCCACAAAGTCTCTCTCACTTCTAGAATGATTTTCCAATCTTCTAGCATATCCAATGGGGATAGACCTTCCACTTATGAAAGACAGTGTTTTTCATTTGCTGGATCTCAGGAGTTATACCTTTTCAGACTTCTTCTCAAAATTTCACTCCTCTTACCATGAAGAGCTTACAGATGCCAACATTATAAAAGAAAGTGTAACAATTTCTGTGGGTGGATGTCCCTTTTGGCAATTTACAATAGAGACCAAAAATCCATGTGGTTTGGCTAACCAAACTTTCCTGGAAACAGTCATCAGACATAATAGAAAACTGACCTTGTTTCTGCCAATTTCATTCCTTTCCAGGAATAAACTCAAAAGTAGCCCTTAAGCAAAAGCTCCCCAGTGACATACCCTAACAATTAATCTAATTCTCTTTCCATAAAAAAGTGGAAAATGTCAGCCCCATAACCTTTAAGAGACTGAACACATTATCAGAGTCATTAAAACTTAACAGTTTTTGAAACAAGGCCAAATCCTAAACTTTTGCACTTTTTGTTCCCACTGTAATAGTCACCTCCTATTCAAATATTTGGTAAGGACTACAGACAAATCCTGTTGGGTTTTCTTACTAATTGTTCTAAGTAAGCACCCATGTAACAGCAGTAAAATATGTCAAAAAACAACACATATAACAGACACCAATGCATGGAATTTCAAAGCATTGGACTGTGTCTAATCCAAGCATTTGCATGCTGTCCATCTTTCGTCTGCTGCAAAAATGAATCCTTTGGTTGGAAATGACTGTAACACAACAAATATCATATATCATTTGAGACTCTGCCAGCACTACAAACAACTACCAATTTTATAATGTGGTCTTCTTCCTCCTTTATCTCCTTCCATAAAAGAAACTAAGGCAACAAGCAGGATACATCCAGCTGTGCTACCTGGGAGGAGTCCTCTCTTCTATAATCAAACTCAACAGAAACAGGCCCTTGCTTCTGGGACATCAAACATGAAGAGGCTCCTGTTCTGCAGAAAATAAATAAGGCGATATCAAAGATTTGTAGAAATTTTGATTAAGACACTTTCTCAGTCTTTCCACATAGCAGACACTGAACTACTGACATGTGCTGTAGCTAGAATTGAGCCTGTGGACTTTTATCTTTGCCTTTGAATTCTGTTATATTGACATTAATTTGGACACTCAATAAAAAATTAACAAAATAGGGATCCTTGCATGAACCTAATCTTTGACTCAGAAACCTCATTTATATAATATTATGTTTTTTCTGTCACCTCTTTCTTCAAGAATGAGGCTCATATTCCTTGCAGAAATTGAGAAATCAATAATGCCTAATCAAAAATTATTTTACTCTGGGGAAATATCAAGGCAATGTTTCCTTGCCCAATGATATCATAGTACATATTACCATAATGAAAAGAATGTCTGGTAAAAAAAAAAAAAAAAAAAGAAAAAACTACGCTTTGCCTTATTCTTTCAACTATTCATTTAAGTCTGAAGAGTCAATCAATGAGTAACCAAACCTGAAAGTTATGCAGAAGAATTCAAATGATTAACAACATTAGACCTACCAGGGCACACTTCCAGCCAAAGCCTCTTGGATAAAATGATAGTAAAAAGTTAGTTAAAACTGTAAAGTAATTTCATGGAAAATAAAAGCCTATTTAGAAAATGAAGAACTTGAGTAATATAATTTCACTCAATTTATTAATTTCTCTAATTTCTGCTTTGTTTTGCTGGGGTTGCTTTTGCTGCCAGATTCTTTTGTCTCTTTCTTATGGTTGTCATCTTCACACCCAAGGCTCTGTACCCATGTAACATAGCAAGCAGATCTTTGAGGAAGAAATTATACCGTGTTTCTGAAAGCCCAAAGACACATTTCAGGGTACAGTCATGTTGATCAACAAAAGTTCCCATTAGTCTTGATTACCTAACTATTCCTAAAAAGTATGCTCATAATTTTCCCCCCTAAATTCATCCATTTACCTGCCACAGTCACTTGGTCTACAGATCCAGTATCAACTAGAAGATAGAGCATTATGATAAGGAAAAGACCCACGTTATTACTGTATGCGCATAGCATCTTAGTAGCCCCACTACTAACAAGTGTTAAACAAAAGCCACTATCTTAGTGTTTTACCATGACTCACACTATGAAAACTACAACTTCATTCAAGGGTGTCCTCATAATCATGTTTTAGGTGACACTGATTACATGGTCCATGTCAAATGCCAATGCTGTATTCCTTAATTGATCTGAAGATAATTAACATGATGGATTCAATAACATACCTCATAGACATAGAAATGCTCATTTTACTCTTAGTAGGCATGATGGATATCCCTAAGACCTAAAGCATGATGACGTTTCTCAGATACTGAATTGGACATTGTCCAATGAAGCAACCTAACCCAGCTGAATCCATCTGCTGTATGTAAAGATCTTCTTACATAGCATGTGAATGCTGATTTACCCCTTGGAAAACTCCTTAGAAATTTCAAAAGATTGAGTGGTTCAAGAGTCCTCCCTCTAGCCAATGCCTGGTTTTATCTGGTCAGCCAACCTTTCACTGACACAAGAGTGGTCACCAATAAATCTCAGATTGTAATTATCCACCGGCACTTCATAAGCCCTGGCTACTCCATTTATATCATCAGATCTCTTTGAGGTTTTGTGAGGGTCCGTCTTTAATTTAGATAAAAGATTTCTCTCTCTAGGTTTCTGAAATATGCTCGGGAGAAGGATGAGTTCATTTACTCCTAGAACCATTCTTCATTCCTTCTTTGTTTTTCAAGTGGCATTTAAACAGTCTTTTGAGCTCTAAAGTCAAGGGCAAAAAAGCAACTTCACTTACCTCTGTGACTATAATTCAGAATCTGACACTTTTGGGTGCCTACAAGTATAGAATAGTCTGTCCTGGTATCAGTTAGAGCCAACAATAACAACAACACAAATCACTCACTCAAACTAAAAGGACCCAAAGTATAAATCCAAAGCAAACTGACTGGCTTGTAAGCAAAGGAGAACTTCCCATAAAGAAGAAGGTCAACCTTTAGCCAATATTAATAGCATGCCAATAGTTAATGTCAATAAGTATGGGAGGTGTTCAAGGACATTTCAAGACTGGTTGAACGCTAAGGCAGAATTCTTTTTCAATATGTGTTGTTTTCTAATAAAAGACACTTTTCTAGACCTTGACACTGAATCAAAAGTAGTTTCCTAGTAGCTAACTCAGCCTTTGGGTCTCCACTTAAAACATCACTTTCTTAAAGAAGCCTTCCCATACCCTCCAGCCTATATTAGAGCCTGTGTAATATGTTGCCATATAATCTTTATTTCTGCATCATGCTTATTACAATTACAATTATTTATCCAGTCATCTGCCTAATTCTTATCCCCTCTGCTGGATGTAATGCTTCACTAGGCAGGAACAATGTCTCTCGTTTCCTGACACATAGAAAGCTGCCAATGTTTATTTATTGAATAATCAGTATTTGGAGACTGAATTTCAAGATTGTCATATCTAAAAACTTAAGAGTATTAGACCTTTATCAGTCTTTAAATCCAAACTGGTCCAACTTCAATTCCAATGCAGGAATCCTCTCTTAAAGTGCTTAATTGAGGACAATCTGGTTGTTCCTTGAACACTTCCAATGAAGGATCAGAAAGCAATTTGTGAGACATGATATTCTATCATTCACTACTTGTTAGAAAATGCTTCTGTTGAATGCCTCCTATAACTTCTATCCATGTACCAGTTCCAATCTCAGAAACAATCCAGAAGGAATCCATTCCTTTTCTATTCTGTATTTTAAGTGTACTTAAAATACGGCAAGATAGCCATAACGTGCTGTAGTAAGCCTCTCTTCCTCCAGGCTTAATGCCTTGGTCCTTTCACCTATTCCTTATACAGTCTGGGTTTGGTTCTCCTCACAGTCATTGTTTCTCATTCAGCCTGTGTCCCCATATGACATCCAAATCCCACAGCACTCCAAATGTGGTATGACGCAAACAAAGTACAGTGAAACCATTATCATCCTTGATCTGGGCCCATAATTTTGTTAGTGTAGCTTACCCTTGCATTGTTAGTGATGTCCTACTAAACCCATAAAAAATTGAATCCTAATGGGCTAGGCACATTCCTATAAAAGCTATGATAGCTCCTGGAAATCTATGAGTTATTTTCTTTGCTGTATGTAAGTAACTATATTTAATTCCTATTGACTCAAAATATATATGTGACATAATATACGTTTAAGTGTCTTAAACGGGGCCTATCTCATAACAAAATACAGGGTTTTTTCCCTCTTCTTTTCCTTCTGATTTTTATTTGCCTTCAAAGCTTTTCCAAACAAAACCAGGTCTATTTTTTGTTTGTTTGTTTTAGAGATGAGATATTGTTCTATCTCCCAGGCTGGAGTGCAGTGGTGCAATCATAGCTCTCTGTAGGCTCAAAAGACCCTCCCACAGCCTCCCAAGTAGCTGAGACTGCAGGAGCACATCACGACACCTGGCTAATTTTTTAATTTTTTTTTTTAGAGACAAGGTCTCACTTTGTTGTTGCCCAGGCTGGTCATGAATTCCTGGCCTCAATAAATCCTCCTGCCTCAGCTTCTCAAAGTTCTGGAATTACAGGCTTGAGCCACCATGACCAGCCCAAAACCAGGTGTTTCTATGATGTTTGATGATCACTTCAAATGGTGGAAGTCAAAAGAATTGCCCTGGTCTGCAAAGTGTCACAATGTCATTCTTATTTTGGTAGTGATATATTTTCCAGGCTCTTAAAACAGTGTCCAAGAAGGATGCAATAGGTCAGGTGTGATGGAGACAGCCAGACCCTGTCTCAAAAAACAAAAACAACAACAAAAAAAGAAGAAGAAGAAGAAAGATGCAATGCATCAACCTCTGGATCATGAGCGTCTACGGCTATTACCACAGTAGCCCGGTGGTGCCTCTCCGCTCCACCGGAGCTTATATCTGTCATATAAGCCTGTTGCAGCTCCCCTGAAAAGCCTTAGGGCTGTGAACACAAAGAAGAAACCTGCCCTGTCTGTGGCTCACCTCATGTTTCTAATAAGCTTGCAAATTATACTATGAATTGTTCCATGTGTCCACACTTGGAGCTACTCTGATGCTTTATTTTACTTGGTTTATATGGCTTAATTGGTTTCTTTTCTCCCTTTCTATAAAAAAAGGAACATGTAATACTTTCATCTATTTGGTCATTTAATTATATATTGTATATTATATATTATATACATTATTTTAATGTATATAAAATAATAAATGTCAAATACCTTTATAGGTAACTAACAAAAGAAAAAAGTTGACTTCTGCTCCACCCCTCTCTACTCCCAAGTCCTGATCAGCACAAGCCATCATTTTCGTTTGTTGGAGTTGTATTTTCCTGGCATTCACTTTGTGTTAGTCCATTTGAATTGCTATAAAGGAATACCTGAGACTGGGTAATTTATAAAGAAAAGAGGTTTATTTTGGCACATGGTTCTGCAGGCTGTAGAGGAAACATAGTGCGGTATCTGCTCCTGGTGAGGGCCTCAGGAAGCTTCCAATCATGGAGGAGGGTGAAAGGGGGGCAGATGTAACACATGCTGAGATAGGGAGTGAGAGAGAGAAGGGGACGGTCCCAAACTCTTTTAAATGACCAGATCTTGCATGAACTGACTGAGCAGGAACTCACTTATCACCGAGGGGATGGCACTAAGCCATTGATGAGGTATACACTCCCATGATCCAGTACCTCCCACTAGACCCCACCTTTAACATTGGGGATCACATTTCAACATGAGATTTGGAAGGGACACATATCCAAACCATGTTATGCCTCTTCTTTACAAACAAAATATGTATCTATATCTTGATTTTTCAGTTTTTTTATATTGTCTAAGGCCTTTCAATAATGCAAGCGGAGGATTTGATTCTGCTATGCAAACTTTCACTTTTATCTCTCCCTCTCTCTGAACTTCTCAATATTTTTTCAATCTAGTTATATCATCATCATTTTATCAAATTAGTATTTAACAGATAATCATTTCTATAAATGCTTTTTTTCTTGAGATGGAATCTTGCTCTGTTGCCCAGGCTGGAGCGCAGTGGCATGATCTTGGCCCAATGCAACCTCCACCTCCCGGGTTCAAGCAACTCTCTGCCTCAGCCTCCCAAGTAGCTGGGATTATAGGCACCCACCACCATGCCCAGCTAATTTTTGTATTTTTAGTACTGACAGGGTTTCACCATCTTGGCCAGGCTGCTCTTGAACTCCTGACCTCGTGATCCACCCACCTTGGCCTCCCAGAGTTCTGGGATTACAGGTGTGAGCCACCACGCCCGGCCATTTCTATAAATATTTTATAGCTCATACAGACAATACACTGTGTACGTATTTCCTTTGTTATAAACTTTTTTTTTTTTTTTTTGAGACAGTCTTGCTCTGTCAGCCAGGCTGGAGTGCAGTGGCTTGATATCGGCTCACTGCAACCTCTACCTCCTGGGTTCAAGTGATTCTTCTGCCTCAGCCTCCCAAGTAGCTGGGATTACAAGCACATGCCACCACACCCACCTAATTTTTTTGAATTTTTGGTAGAGATGTTGGCCAGGCTGGTCTTGAACTCCTGACCTCAAGTGATTTGCCCACTGCAGCCTCCCAAAGTGCTGAGATTACAGGCATGAGCCACCCCACCTGGCCAACATTTTATTTGTCTTAGAGTTAGTAATTGCCTCTCTTTTTTTTAATTCATTTTGCTTTAAAGTAACAGTAGTTCATCCACAAACTTTCAAACAGAACTTTAAAAGTATGCCTTAATTATGAGTGTAGCACAAATCAGGTAAGCTTTCTTTTTAAAAAATAATTATTTAAATTGACAAAAAATTACATATGTTTATAGTGTACAACATGATGTTCTGAAATATGTATACAGTGTGGAATGGCTAAATCAAGCTAGTTAACAGATAGATAAGCTTTCAATACCTACTCAATATTCTCCCTTGTTCCAATTTGGACTTGCTAAAACAGTTTTCCTCAGATTTTCTTTCATCATTATTCTGGAAATTCTCTTCCTCTTCCTTCTGTTTGGCCTGTGTGTTTTGGATCCCATTTTTACTCTTTCTTGGTTTATTTCACTTTGTTGCTAGCAAATCTTTCAATGGTGTTCTGGAAAAGGTTGCATGGTAAGTACATTTTTGAGATGTTGAATGACTGAAAAGTTTTCATTTCTGCCACTTTTTTTTTTTTTTTTTTTTTTTGAGACTGAGTGTCGCTCTGTCACCAGGCTGGAGTGCAGTGGCATGATCTCAGCTCACTGCAACCTCCGCCTCTTGGGTTCAAGGATTCTCCTGCCTCAGCCTCTGGAGTAGCTGGGTCTACAGGTGCACGTTACCACACCCAGCTAATTTTTCTATTTTTAGTAGAGACAGGGTTTTACCATGTTGACCAGGATGGTCTGGATCTCTCAACCTGGTGATCTGCCCACCCTGGCCTCCCAAAGTGCTGGGATTACAGGCGTGAGCCACTGCGCCTGGCCTCTGCCATTACACTTTATTGATAATTTATCTGAATATGGTATTCCAGGTTGAAAATTATTTCCCCTCAAGATTTTTACACACTGCTGTACTGTTTTCCAGGTTTCAATAGTTCTGTTGAAAAGCTAATGCTATTCATGTTTGAATTATTTGATATGATTCTCTCCTCCACCTCTTTTTTCTTCTTCTCTTTCTCTATTTCTCTCTCTCCTCTCCTCTTTCCTTCTCTGTTTCTCACTTTCTCAGAACTTTAAAGATTTATTTTCTTCTTCCCTGATGTTCTGACATTTCATGATCCATTTCTCTAGTACTGGTATTTTTTCACGGACTTTTTTTCTTCCTAAACTCCTGGTAAACTCTTTCAGTCTAAAGACTTGTGTTCATCAATTGTAGGAAATATATTACTTCTTTGAAAACTTTTCTCCTTTGATTTTTTGTTTCTTTTTTGGAATTCATATTATTCAGTTTTTGTATCTTTATGAAAAATATTATTTTCCTAAGTTTTCCTCCAAATTTTTTATTTTTTGTCTTTTGATTCTTATTCTGGGACGATTACCTCAAATATACATATTCTAAACTTCTAATTGATTTGAAGGTTTCTCTTAGCCTGCATGTAGTATGCAAGAAATCTATCTTGCTCAGGAATGCTCTCTTGTTAAAAGATCCTGTTCTTGTTTCAAATGCAGTATCTTATCTTACTGATAACTTTAATTGTAGTTCATTTGTTTTTTAAGTTTTATTATTTTATGAACTTTGTTTCCTCTGAGTCCTCCTTTTCTACTTTTAAATTTTGGAGTTTATCTTTCATATCAGAGGCTTCAAATGTCTGGTTTTCCCTGGCCAGCAATCTGTATTTAAGAATGCAGTCCTGAAAAAAAAAAAAGGATCGAAAACTCTGCTTGGGTAACGAAAGTTGTGGATTGATAGGTCTCTCCATGAGTGATAAGGTAGGGACCACGCTATTTCACCTGAGGAGTCCCAATTACAGTTTTTATAAGCTTTTTTATTTGACCCAATCTTTTGAGGCAAGGATAGGAACCCTCCTGCTAAATTATGCTGCCATCAGCATCCTGAGAGTGAAAAAGGAAAATGGGACTCTCCAGACAGAATACAGACTTTTATTCAGTCTTCTTTCAAATTCAGGGTCACACCTTGCCCTTAGCTTTGTCTGCTGTCCCTGCAATAAAAGCCTCCCTGTATTGACTTCGCAAAAAAGAAAGAGGAACTTCTTTTTCTCTGCTAGGGTGGGACTTAGAATTTTTTACCTAGTTGTGAAAGCTTGGGGAAATAATCTGGGAGTCTAGTTCCTCCTTAGATAGAACTTTCCACCAATCTTCCGGATTTTGGCTTCAGTGTCTAAGCTCAGTTTAGAAGTATCTAAAATATGCTAAGACTTTGGGAGTTATGCAACATGAATTGGTAGGCTTGTTTTTAATATACCTCCAAATAAATTATTCTTTCTTAGGTGTAATTCATCAAATATTGCTTATCTATTATTTTCCAAATGAAAATATTTGAATATAAGTGTATGCCATACAAAATTAAGACATACTTATCTAAAAAATTAGTTGTTTATCTGAAATTCAAATCTAACTGGGTGTCCTAAATTGTTTTCAGTCAACCAAATATGAGGGAAAGCAGGGTAAGGAAATGTTAGGAATGCTGATATTCTCATCTTCCAATGTGGAGAATCAAGAGGTGGTGTCTGGATTTGATAGAACAAGAAATTGATATTTTAAATATAATATTTAAATCAGGTAAAAAAGTTATTAATCCAGAGCTTTTTTAGAGATAGAAGAAACAGGATGTGAAAAGTGCTTTGAATAGTATCTTCAGCTATTATAGCAGAAAGTCACTAACTTTCTGTTAGCATCTAAAGTTTAGAAACAAGAAAAGCAGCCCGACATCACGGCAACCATCAGGAAAACTTAAAGGAGAAACAACTGAATAATAATTGTTTCTGGGCACCAAAAAGTTGGTTGAAATGACATATCGAGAAGATTGTGGATTTTTCATGCTAGCCTTGTTGTATATTTTGCTTTTTAAAATATCTATTAACTTAGATTAAAAATTTTAGATTTGTTTTTTAAAAATGTCTTGACCGGATAATTTTACTTCTAGTACAGTGTTATGAAAGGAAAATATCTTGGACTTCCGAAATCACTAAGGAAAACTCAAGCTGGTAGCTTCTTAGGGCAAATCTGACTCCTGTTCTATTCAAAGTCACCCCTCTGCTCACTGAGATAGATGCATATCTGATTTGCCTCCTTTGGAAAGGCTAATCAGAAGCTCAAAAGAATGTAATAACCGCTTGTGTATCACCTATCTGTGACCTGGAAACTCCCTCCCCTTTTGTGGTCCTCCTGCCTTTGCTTCAAGTTGTCCTGCCTTTCCAGACCCAAGGAATATACTTCTTACATATATTGATTGATGTCTCCTGTCTCCCTAAAATGTATAAAACCAAGCTGTGCCCTGACCACCTTGGGCACATGTCGTCATAACTTCCTGAGGCTGTGTCACGGGTGGGTCCTCAACCTTGGCAAAATAAACTTTCTAAATTAACTGAGACCTGGCTCAGATTTTCTGAGTTCACAGTGTTTATTCTTAGAAAGTGTCAGAAGAATTGTGCCCATAATAAGTGTATATAACCTCGGCTTACGAATACATTCATATACATCTTACATTTTGAAATGTAAGAGTCAGAATAGCTTAAGTTTCATAGAGAGGTGTCTATTGGAGAAATTGGATTTCTCTTTTGTAAGAAGGGACTTTTTCCTAGGGAAAATGTTGCATATGAGAGCAAAATTCCCAGCAAGTGATGATAATCTTGCTTTCATGAAAGAGCAGTCAAGAAAAACACATTCATTTGTCTACTTCCAAAGCTTGCTACACTTACTGTCAGATATCTGAGCAATATTCCTATTTTCATTAATGATTAAATAAGTAATTGTTTCATTAGTCTTAATCTTAGGGTTTACTATAATCTAGGTTTCATGAATAAGCATACTAATTTGTCTGATTAATTTCCTTCCAGGAGTAATTTCAGTTAATAAGAGAGATAAAGGCAATACACAGAAAACGTAAAATTCCCGTAATTACTAACTAAAGTTATGAATATAAAATTATGCAATTTCCAAAATGGGAAAGGATGAAAAATAATGGAGTTGCATACATCTGATACATTTGCATAATAATATTAAACAAACTTAATATGTAATATATGGTCAATGAATCTACTTCAAGTAACACTGGTTGACCTCACACACACAAAACTGCTGATGTAGCCTTTCGTGTTCAATAATGTAAGGTCTCTGATTGCATTTTCCTGGCAATAAAGCAAATAATATTACTCCATACCCACTACATATGATGATTTTATAAGTAACTGGTACTTCCTAGAAGCAAAAACATTTGGTTTGTGGACATCCAAATCTATGATGAAAAGCATACATATCTATAAAATATTGAAACCAATTTCCACAAAGCACACATAAAATTCAACCTCTTTACCTCTGAGCCACGCGTTGAATACTTGCTCTTCTCCATTGTATTTACAAAGGTATACCTCGATGAAAAGAAGAAAATGATAGCAATGCTGTGGCTCCAACGAAAGTCAGAATTTCCATGAATTATTTATGCCTAAAGATTGGTCCTACTTAGGATTCATAATATACTTCACCTTATTTTACAACAGAAAGAGAAATTATGGCTCGATTTACTAAAATAATTATAATCATAATCACATCTGCTCTTGAAGACTGTCAAACAGCTCCATAGTGTACCGCATACATTTCCTCTACTAGATTCCCTCTTTTATGAGTTAATTAAACAATTTCACAGCATTATTTGTACAACTATTCTGCATGGCATATTGTTTGTGCAGAACATTCTCTTTAATAGCTCTATTCTTCAAACAGATGTTCATTTAAATTTTTTTCACAGATTTTATTTGGAAAACAATTAGTGAATTTATCCTACTATACTGTCACCTTTCTTCGGACTTAAAGCAGCTCTATCTCTACATTAGGAAAATCCTATTGTGGCTTTTCAATTTTGGAGGAAAAAAAAAAAAACACTTTAGCAAATGTCTATGGTTAGTGGGCAAGTTTGCCAGAGCAAATTGCCCCCAAATGATGGCTACCCAATGTTACTTTGGTACTACAGTACAAAGTCAGTAAGAAGTTTTCTTAAAAGCATGGAAAAATAAAAATGCATGATGACACATTTCTCCACTCTATTCCTTTTGTTTTTATAAATTTTGTCTTATACCTCCAAGCATTGGACTCACTATAAACCAGAGTAAAATGACAGATTAAAGGGAATGAAATGGATGCAAGACCACTTTTTATTTATCAAAAGGCAACTGAATTAATCATATCCCAAGACATATTTTCCTGGGAAAGTGACATTGAACATTGTTATGAATTGGCTTCTCTTGCCAAAACATTTTAAAGAAAGAAGATACCATCTACCATATATTTTGAGGTGGAAGTTTCTCTCCCTGCTTGACTCCAATTAAATTTTACACGGTTTGAGTCCCCGACCAGGTCTGTTTTGTGCAATTCATTCAACAGATTTATCTCCTCTTTATTATCTCTGTCTTAGAGAGCTACAACAAGGAGTCAACCGCATTCACGAGTGTGGATGTTGCATCTCCAGTGAAGAAGGACCATTCTGTTTTCCTTTTGTGAATAATTTCCTGCAGGGAGCTCAGAATTGCCCTCTTTTACTCTCATTTACATATATAGTGCTGCAGAAATAAATTTTGCCCTTGCTTTTGAACTATAAAGTAATAAATTATGAACATCTATCTAATACTTTGAAAGTCTAATCTGCATTCACTTAGATGGAAATAGTGTTGAGAAAAATGAAAAGCCCATATGTTTTCAAATATTTGCTTTTCTTTCTTTTCTTAACCAGAATTTGGTGATTCTATTAGAATAAGAAAACCTGAAAACTTTAAGCATTAGTAAATATTTAAATTATGCTTACAAAAGGAGCACCTTACAGTTTAGGTTAAAAATGTACAAAATATTAATTAAAGTCCTAGAACAACTGCCCCATGGTTCCTAGCTTCCTCAGTTAATACAGAAGAAACTAAGTAATAAATCTTTAATTTTTTTTTTTTTTACCTAGACCTTCTAAAATTTCTGAACAGGAATGGTCTGTAGGAATACGATTTTAGAACAAGCTTATGAAATGCTGTCTTGGGAAAATGGATTTCTCAGATGATTAAGATCACTGCATGTATTGGGAGGGCATTTCTCACTGTCATGTGAATAGTGTGCAACTGGCAGGGAATGATGGTGGAATGGAACATATATGACAGATAGCCAGAAGCAGAACACCATAGTCATTCTAAAAGGAGCCCAGGTACTGTTTAGAATGGCAGCAATTTGAAAACCACCTAAAATGTCTTAGTGAAAGTGGTTTATAAATGGCTTATAATATGTCTAATAATACATATAATACTCTTTGCATATTAAAAATGATAATATAGTCATATGCTGCATCACATTTTGGTTAACAATGGTGGTCCCATAAGATTGTAACACTGTACTTTGACTGCACCTTTTCTATGTTTTAGACAGGGTTAGATACACAAACACTTGCCATTGTGTTACAATTGCCTACAGTAATCAGTACAGTAACATGCTGTACAGGTTTGTAGCCTAGGAGCAACAGACTATATCATCTAGCCTAGGTGTGTAGTAGGCTATACCATCTAGGTTTGTTAGTATACTCTTTGATGTTCACGCAATGACAAACTTGCTTAATGATGCATTTCTCAGAACATATTGCTAACATCAAGCAGTGCATGACTATGTATTTTTACTTATTAGCACTAAATAATGATTACCTTCTTATAATGATCACTTAAGATAATAATATATTCAATTTCCTCAACAGATCATTTAGACTATGATCATTTAGACTGTATCACTTTTGGTAAGTATTGTTTTTCATAAAATTTTTCCGTTTCATCTATACAGTAGATGACTAAAGTTTTTCAATATTGTCTTTTTAAATGTTGTTAGCATTCATACTAATAACCACTTTTTAATTTCTGAAATTGTAATTTTTTTCTCTCTTTTCTCCTGGTCAGTTTTGTAAAGGATTTATCAATTATATTAGCCTTTTCAATAAATCTAATTTAGTTGTCGATTTTCTCTGTTTCATATTAGTTTTCTATTTCATTGGTTTCTCAAATTTTATTTGATTGTTATAAAAACACTACTTCATTGATTTCTTACTTTTAGAATTTCCTTTTTTCTATTTCCTTTGGCTTTGCTTTGCTTATCTTTTCTTGTGTTCCTAACATAGAAGTTTACAGAATTCATTTCCAGCATTCTATTTACTCAGTAACTTTCTGTTAGGAAATACTGCTTATGTTTTTATATAATTTGCATCTGTATTGGAAATTATTTAGCTAGTGAATTTTAACTACAAAAATAACAACAATATTAACATTAGGTTCCTAATAGCTGACACTTCATCAAACTATACAATAAATATTTATTGTCTGTCACAGGCCAAGAGCTGGGGACACAGTGGTGAATAAGACACAGGCCTATCCTCATGAAGCTTATATTAATGGGGGACAAAGGATAATAATCACATAAGCAAACAAATAAATACATGAGATGATGCTACACATGCAAATGTTTATTGATTACCTACTCCTTGACAACCAGTGTTAAATGGTTGTGACTTTTGTTTTAAAATTAAGAAGTGCCAGGAGAATCCAGAAATAAAGCTGCACACCTACAGTCATCTGATCTTTGACAGTCACCAAGAATAAGAATGGGAAAAAGACTCCCTATTCAATAAATAGTGCTGGGATACCTGGGTAGCCATATGCAGAATGAAACTGGACACCTATTTTCACCATATAAAAAAAATTAACTCAAGATGGATTAAAGATTTAAACGTAAGTCCTCAAACTATAAGAATCTTAGGAGAAAACCTAGGAAACACCATTTTGGACACTGGCGTTGGAAGTCCTCAAAAACAATTGCAACAAAAACAATAATTGACAAGTAGAATCCAATTAAACTAAAGCACTTCTGCAGGAGGAGGCTGGTGGGGGGGACTATTGGCCAGGCGCAGTGGCTCATGCCTGTAATCCCAGCACTTTGGGAGGCCAAGTCAGGTGGATCACCAGGTCAGGAGATCGAGAACACCCTGGCTAAATGGTGAAACCTTGTCTCTACTAAAAATACAAAAAAATTAGCCGGGCATTGTGGCGGGTGCCTGTAGTCCCAGCTACTAGGGAGGCTGAGGCAGGAGAATGGCCTGAACCCAGGAGGCAGAGCTTGCAGTAAGTGGAGATCTCACCACTGCACTCCAGCCTGGGTGACAGAGTGAGACTCTATCTCAAAAAAAAAAAAAAAAAAAAAAAAACACCTATCAACAGAGTGAACAGACAACCTACAGAATGGAAGAAAATATTTGCAAACTACACATCTGATGAAGGCCTAATATCTAGAATCTATAAGGAATGTAAGCAATTGGACAAGCAAGAAACAACCCCCTTAAAAAATTGGGCAAAAGACGTGACCAGATGCTTCTCAAAAGACATAAAAGAAGCTAACAACATGAAAAAATGCTCAACATCACTAATCATCAGAGAAATGCAAATCAAAACCACAACAAGATACCATCTCAAACCAATCAGAATGGGTTAGGATTAAAAAGTCAAAAAATTACAGATGCTGGTGAGGCAACAGAGAAAAGGGAATGCTTATATGTTGTTGGGAATGTAAATTAGTTTAGCCACTGTGAAAAGCAGTTTGGAAATTTCTCAAAGAAACTGAAACAGAACTATCATTCAGCACAGCAATTCATTACTGGGTATGTATCCAAAAGAAAACGTATCACTTTACCAAAAAGTGCACACGCACTCGTATGTTCATCACAGCACTATTCACAAAGACATAGAATCAACCTAAGTGCCCATCAATGGTGGATTAGATGAAGAAAATGTGCTACATATACACTGTGGAATATTACACAGCCATAAAAAAGAATAAAATAATGTCCTTAGCAGCAACATGGATGCAGCTGGAGGCCTTTATCCTAAGCGAATTCATGCAGGAACAGAAAACCAAATATCACATACTCTCACTACTAATAGGGAGCTAAACACTGGGTACTAATGGACATAAAGATGACAACAATAGAAACTGGGGACTATTAGGGGTGAAAGAGACATGGGGGAAAGGGTTGAAAAACTCACTATTGGTTACTAAGCTCAGTACCTGGGTGATGGGATCATTTGTACCCCAAAACTCCATATCATGCAATATGCCCATGTAACAAATTTGCATGACAAAAAAATATAGATAACTATGCTAGAAGATAGGCATTATTATCTACATTTTACAAAGGAAACAACTAAGACTCATTAAGACCAGGTAATGAAGTTTAGAAGCAAGTGACGGGTAGAATCTCCAAATATCATATTCTTTCCACTTTATCACTTCTTTCTGAAAACCATGTATTCTGCTAAAGGGCTCCTCCCTACATCCTATTATTTTCTATGATTCAAAGATAGTTATAAACAGCAGGCACCAGCAGATATTTCCAATGAACACTGTAACAATCAAATCGGTCTTTTGGTAGTGGGACTAACGTTCAAGGTTTGATTTGCGGAATCCAAATGGTAGAATGAAAAAACTGGAAGACATTCAGTTATTTTATTTACTTCTATTATTTATAGATTGGTCACAAGCAGGATGGGAGACAAATGTTTAAATGATTAGTGTAAAGCTGTAAGAAAAAAACAAAGCACGTGCCTCAGAGAGCAACTGTATCTTTAGAGAAGACTCACATTAGATAAATGAGCATTTCTCCCCACCTTAAAATTAAAAATACTGTTGTCAAACATCTTTTCCTCCTTTCCTAAATGGTTACTTGTTTCAAGCTCCTTTTTATGCATATCCCAGCTCTTCCCTACAAAAAGCTCCACAAATAAACAAAAGACACTGTAGAGGCTCCATCTCCAAACAAGCTCCTAGCAGGAATTTCAAACTGCTCTGTTGTTTGTTTCCCTTTGCTTCCCTGCTGCAAGCAGACAGCAGACAGTCGGCCCAGCTTTGCCTGCAGCAGAAGTGATTGAACAAAGAAATCCCAGGGTCCAAACTGTTCAAAAGACCTTCTGCAAACACTTTAGGGCCAGTGAATTTTCAAAACCTGTGCCTTTTGCTTTAAAATTAAGAAGGGTCAGGATGAACACCCAACTGGATGCTGGAGGGTTGAGGGAATGTTCAATGACTGAAGACAGAGGAGGATTCCTGCAGCCTCTTGAGAGGGTCTGAAATGCAGGTGGGGGTGCGGAGGTCAGCCATGAGGAACATTTGTGAATAGAAAGAAAAAATATGGTATTTCTTTGTCATACACATAGTCCCCTCTTTCAGATTTCTATTCCACAGGTAACTAACCTAATTCAACATTTATCACCGATGGCTGAAACCCAGCTTCCTCTCTGATCAGTTTAGTCTATAGGGTAAATGCTGCTTAAAAATCATCAAGGTGACAGAAGAACTGTGCCTAATTAACACTCTCCTAATACTCCAGCAAATAACAAGCCTGCTGTGGGGGAAAAAATGCATTCACACTTCCTTATCAAATTAGGGCCAAAAAATGCTCCTAATTAGCTAAAATCAATTAATGTGACAGCAAAATGAATGTATTTATACTGTCAGCGAAAGGTATAGCCAGAGAAGTGGGAAATATATAAAGAAGCTGCTGGAGTTTCTTAAAGCAGTTATGAAGGGGCTGATGCTTTGAGAATTTTATCAATGACACCCAGAATCTGAGGGAGATTTACCTTGGAGGCAGCCTCTGTCCTGTATTTGCG
Organism: Homo sapiens; assembly: GCF_000001405.40. Classification (NCBI taxonomy): domain Eukaryota; kingdom Metazoa; phylum Chordata; class Mammalia; order Primates; family Hominidae; genus Homo; species Homo sapiens. The sequence continues at coordinate 149,800,268 of NC_000002.12, read as the reverse complement.
GACACCCTGGGATGTTGTAGCACTTGGATGATTCTCATTGTGGTTATTCATTAAAACATGTAGTTAGTTTATCAACAGTCATCATGTAGAGCTAGGTGCTTATTTGCAAACACACGTATAAATGCATTTATACACAAATAAAATAGGTGCCTTAGACTACTACGAGTAGGCTGTTTATGAGTTACATTAGTTATATTTTCTATAAAGTTGTCATGGCTAGTCACTATTTAGCAAACTTTTTTGCTAGGATTATACTCAGTTCAAAATGTGTTGAAGAAAAGTTGTACTTGCTAAATAACTCAGGCTGGGGGTCTTGGCATTACCTCATTTTGATTCTTCTCCACTTCTGGTCTTTTGATTCCAATGCTGAACACATTAGTTAGCTTGAGAGAACTTGTTATTAACAATACAATAAATTGTTCACAAAAATGCTCATATTATGATATGGGGTTAAATGTGATCTAAAATAGGCTTTTTAGAAAGCCTAACAAAAATTCTCATATTATGATATTGGGTTAAATGTGATCTAAGATAACAATCATATTTACCATGACTTATTTCCATTCTGGACCAAGTATTTTTTTAACGGATATTTGGGCAGGTTTTACCACAAAGGTTAGCACCTCCCTTAATTATAGCTGATTCTCACTGAAATCATCATCAAAGATTTCATTTGCGCTCTACAGAGTCAGTGGACACGATGGATGTCAGCTCTCCCCCGTGTGTGGATGGTGTTAGCATCTTGGTATGTTTGTTTACTTAATGAAGTGTCTGGAGGCCTCTACTGGTGTTTAGGAAAATATCAACTGAGACAGAACAATAATTGTAGGAAGATTCTAAGCAGGCAAACCTCCTTTACATGTGAACTTATTCCAAAATCTCAGTTCTCCATTCCTTATCACTCTTTCATTACTGTAAACATTGGTAAGCTGATTATTATCTCCCAGTGTCACCTTTTCTAAGTATGCTGTACAACCACAGGATACCCTGTTTTCTCTGCTGTGGCAAATGCCATCCAGTCCTGCCCATGATAGCTGCACTAAATTATCAGCCTGAAGATTATTTTTTCACCCTCTGTCAGTTTATATCACGTCTGAACTTCCCATTCTCTAGGGATTAGGGCAGCTTTTCCATCAAACCAGCTGTTTGCTTTCTTTTTTTTTTTTTTTCTAATAATGGCAAAACAGCTTTCTTATGAATTAACAGTGTCCATATCAGATGGGAAAAACATAGGTTTCCGTTTCATATCTGTTGTATTTGCAGTCTGGTACAACCGACAATCATAAAACACAGTGAGATGCTGCCGAGAGGAGAGATGGGTGGGAGACAATAAAATCTGGAGCAAAAAGACATAAACTTGATTATAAAATTATTTCCAAAGCATACAAGAAGGGAAAAGGTGATTACCATTAATTGTGACCTTCCAATGCATCATACTTTTAGTAACTTTTCTCAAATATCAATAATATAAGTCATTTATTTCAATAATCAACTGTTCAATAAAATTTATTATAATGTTTACAATAGATAACTCTAGTATTCCTCCACCACTGGAAGAAGATGGCAAAGAAAAGAGAACTATAGAGTTAAGTAACACACCCAGCAAGCTAAATTAATATATACTCATCAATGTATTCCAAAATTCAATACAAGCACACTCTTGAAACACAAGCAAGGGAGATAATTCCTGTTGATTGAATTGTGACATGTCTCAGGTCTACTTCCCTAATAGCAGGTCCTGAGGCTAGGATTCTTAGGCTGGTTTTTGTTTGTTTGTTTTTAAGAAAATGCTCTTGGGGGGACCAGTGGGAGTTAAAGAAGTAAGATGTAAAAGAGAAGCTAAGCAGGAAATTGATTTCTGGTGCACCTAGCCTCAGCCTGTTTCTGTAATTGTACCAGGCTGCTATCTCCCTCCTGGAGGCAAGGCAGTAGGTATTTACCAGTCAAGAAACAACTCTGGCATAGCCCTCAGCCTCCTTTGAATTAGATGGCTCCAGTTGTCCAAAGGATTTCATGTGAGGTATTAGCAGAAGCAACAACAGCAGCCTTCAAAGGAATCCCCAGGTTCTGAGAGAGACGTCAAAAGAGTACACTAAACCATAAGATTCTTTTATGGCGTTTATTAAGAACCAGTGTTCAATCTATATCAAACAAATTTTGTGACTGCCTGGTAAATTTAAAGGCTAATGAGAACCTTTAGGCCCTTTGAGACATGTGTAGATATAAAAGGTTGTAACTTTCTTGACTATCTTGCCTATCCTATCTACGATCCCATTTTTCTACAAGATTCTGAGTAAAAAAAAAAAAAATCAATTGTCTAATGATTTTAAAATGACAGTACAGTTTTCTTTCAATAAAGAAGATAGGCTGGGTGCAGTGGCTCACATCTGTAATCCCAGTATTTTGGAAGGCCAAGGCACGTGTATCACTTGAGGCCAGGAGTTCGAGACCAGCCTGGCCAACATGGCAAAACCCTGTCTCCACTAAAAATACAAAAAAAAAAAAAATAGCCATGCATGTGGTGGTGCATGCCTGTAATCCCAGCTACTCGGAAGGCTGAGGCATGAGAATTGCTTGAGCCTGGGAGGTAGAGATTCCAGTGAGCAGAGATCATGCCATTGCACTCCAGCCTGGGCGACAGAGCAAGACTCTGTCTCAAAAATAAATAAATAAATAAATAAATAACACGAAAGCTTTAAGTATAAGAAATACAAAACTACCTATTAATGTGAGTCATGCAGCTATACTTTTTGGCAAGAGATTTTTAAAGTTATAAATGATATTTGGGGGTAGCTTTTACTATTTTGCAAGGGTTTCAGACTATTCTAATTCCATTTTAATTTTACTACCTATTCATGTAAAAAATATAGTATGGGTTATTTATGAAATTTTAAAGCTCATGGAATTTTAATTGGGTAGAAAAGGAAGCTGAGATTTCACTTACATCTGTCAAGTTCTGCTAAGGAGATCTGCCATAACTCATGCAAGTAGCAAAATGGCACTCACTCATTTTATAGTCAATTATGCATCTGCCATAAGTGAACATTTGTTATGTCAGGTAATGTCAGAAAGGATTTCTGAACATGTCTTCACAGTCTCTTAAACGTTAGAGCATGATCCCCACCTCAACTAAACATTCTTCTAAATGGGCACTAGACCATCCTGACTGTTGCTCAAGAAAAGATCATGGGCTATAGAATCAAGTACAGCTGGGATTTCAGATATGCTCTGCTGTCTATGAGCTGTGTGATCTTGGATCTGTCACTTTCTTCTCTCTTAGGATGAGCTATATCCTCTGTTTTATAGAAAGCCTAGATAATATTATCTACCATCCAGAGTTACTGTGAATATTAAAGAAGATAAATATTTTATAAAGATAGTACATATAACAACTCATATTCTCAAATACCCTGAAAAGACAGAAAATACATTTTCTAAAGATTTAAAAATTATTTCAAAACAGAGTTTAATGAGTAAGCCCAAACTTTGGAGTTACTCTCAAAAAGCAGAAAGCAGGGGCAGTTCCAAGATGGCTGAATAGGAACAGCTACAGGCTACAGCTCCCAGCGTGAGTGATGCAGAAGATGGGTGATTTCTGCATTTCCAACTGAGGTACCAGGTTCATCTCACTGGGGCTTGTCAGACAGTGGGTGCAAGACAGTGGGTGCAGCGCATCGAGCATGAGCCAAAGCAGGGTGAGGCATGGCGTCACCCGGGAAGCACAAGGGGTCAGGGAATTCCCTTTCATAGCCAAGCAAAGCTGTGACAGACAGCACCTGGAAAATCAGGTAACTCCCACCCTAATAATGTGCTTTTCCAAAGGTCTTAACAAACGGCACACCAGGAGATTATATCCCGCACATGGCTTGGAGGGTCCCACGCCCACGGAGCCTTGCTCATTGCTAGCACAGCAGTCTGACATCAAACTGCAAGGTGGCAGCAAGGCTGGGGGAGAGGCACCTGCCATTGCTGAGGCTTGAGTAGGTAAACAAAGCAGCCGGGAAGTTTGAACTGGGTGGAGCCCACCACAGCTCAAGGAGGCCTGCCTGCCTCTGTAGACTCCACCTCAGGGGGCAGGGCATAGCTGAACAGAAGGCAGCAGAAACCTCTGCAGACTTAAATGTCCCTGTCTGACAGCTTTGAAGAGAGTAGTGGTTCTCCCAGCATGGAGTTTGAGATTTGAGAACAGACAGACTGCCTCCTCAAGTGGGTCCCTGACCTCTGAGTAGCCTAACTGGGAGGCACCCCCAAGCAGGGGCAGACTGATGCCTCACACGGCCGGGTACCGCTCTGAGATGAAACCTCCAGAGGAATGATCAGACAGCAACATTTGCTGTTCAGCAATATTCTCTGTTCTGCAGCCTCCGCTGCTGATACCCAGGCAAACAGGGTCTGGAGTGGACCTCCAGCAAAATCCAACAGACCTGCAGCTGAGGGTCCTGACTGTTAAAAGGAAAACTAACAAACAGAAAGGACATCCACACCAAAACTCCATCTGTACGTCACCATCATCAAAGACCAAAGGTAGATAAAACCACAAAGATGGGGAAAAAACAGAAAAACTGAAAATTCTTAAAATCAGAGCACCTCTTCTCCTCCAAAGGAACACAGCTCCTCACCAGCAATGGAACAAAGCTGGACAGAGAATGACTTTGATGAGTTGAGACAAGAAGTCTGCAGACGATCAAACTTCTCCGAGCTAAAGGAGGAAGTTTGAACCCATTGCAAAGAAGTTAAAAACCTTGAAAAAAAGATTAAACGAATGGCTAACTAGAATAACCAATGCAGAGAAGTCCTTAAAGGACCTGATGGAGATGAAAACCATGTCACGAGAACTACGTGACACATGCACAGGCTTCAGTAGCTGATTTGATCAGCTGGAAGAAAGGGTATCAGTGACTGAAGATCAAACGAATGAAATGAAGCAAGAAGAGAAGTTTAGAGAAAAAAGAATAAAAAGAAATGAACAAAGCCTCCAAGAAATATGGGACTATGTAAAAAGACCAAATCTACGTCTGATTGGTGTACCTGAAAGTGATGGGGAGAATGGAACCAAGTTGGAAAACACCCTGCAGGATATTATCCAGGAGAACTTCCCCAACCTAGCAAGGCAGGCCAACATTCAAATTCAGGAAATACAGAGAATACCACAAAGATACTCCTTGAGAAGAGCAACTCCAAGACACATAATTGTCAGATTCATCAAAGTTGAAATGAAGGAAAAAATGTTAAGGGCAGCCAGAGAGACAGGTCCCGTTACCCACAAAGGGAAGCCCATCAGACTAACAGCGGATCTCTCGGCAGAAACTCTACAAGCCAGAAGAGAGTGGGCGCCAATATTCAAAATTCTTAGAGAAACGAATTTTCAACCCAGAATTTCATATCCAGCCAAACTAAGCTCCATAAGTGAAGGAGAAATAAAATACTTTACACACAAGCAAATGCTGAGAGATTTTTTCACCACCAGGCCTGCCCTAAAAGAGCTCCTGAAGGAAGCACTAAACATGGAAAGGAACAACCAGTACCAGCCACTGCAAAAACATGCCAAATTGTAAAGACCATCGAGGCTAGGAAGAAACTGCATCAACTAACGAGCAAAATAACCAGCTAACATCATAATGACAGGATCAAATTCATACATAACAATATTAACCATAAATGTAAATGGGCTTAATGTTCCAATTAAAAGACACGACTGGCAAATTGGATAAAGAGTCAAGACACATCAGTGTGCTGTATTCAGGAAACCCATCTCACATGCAGAGACACACATAGGCTCAAAATAAAGGGAGAGAGGAAGATCTACCAAGCAAATGGAAAACAAAAAAAGGCAGGGGTTGCAATCCTAGTCTCTGATAAAACAGACTTTAAACCAACAAAGATCAAAAGAGACAAAGAAGGCCATTACATAATGGTAAAGGGATCAATTCAACAAGAAGAGCTAACTATCCTAAATATATATGCACCCAATACAGGAGCACCCAGATTCATAAAGCAAGACCTTAGAGACCTACAAAGAGACTTAGACTCCCACACAGTAATACTGGGAGACTTTAACACCCTACTGTTAACATTAGACAGATCGAGACAGAAAGGTAACAAGGATATCCAGGAACTCAACTGAGATCTGCACCAAGCAGACCTAATAGACATCTACAGAACTCTCCACCCCAAATCAACAGAATATACATTCTTCTCAGTACAACACCACACCTATTCCAAAATTGACCACATAGTTGGAAGTAAAGCAGTCCTCAGCAAACGTAAAACAATAGAAATTATAACAAACTGTCTCCCAGACCACAGTGCAATCAAACTAGAACTCAGGATTAAGAAACTCACTCAAAACCACAAAACTACATGGAAACAGAACAACCTGCTCCTGAATGACTACTGGGTACATAACAAAATGAAGGCAGAAATAAAGATGTTCTTTGAAACCAACAAGAACAAAGACACAACATACAAGAATCTCTGGGACACAGTTAAGGCGGTGTGTAGAGGGAAATTTATAGCATTAAATGCCCACAAGAGAAAGCAGGAAAGATCCAAAATTGACACCCTAACATCACAATTAAAAGAACTAGAGAAGCAAGAGCAAACACATTCAAAAGCTAGCAGAAGGCAAGAAATAACTAAGATCAGAGCAGAATTGAAGGAGATAGAGACACAAAAAACCGTTCAAAAAATCCATGAATCCAGGAGCTGGTTTTTTGAAAAGATCAACAAAATTGATAGACCACTAGCAGGACTAATAAAGAAGAAAAGAGAGAAGAGTCAAAAAGATGCAATAAAAAATGATAAGTTGGATATCACCACCGATCCCACAGAAACACAAACTACCATCAGAGACTACCATAAACACCTCTACGCAATTAAACTAGAAAATCTAGAAGAAATGGATAAATTCCTCGACACATACACTCTCCCAAGACTAAACCAGGAATCTCTGAATAGACCAATAACAGGCTCTGAAATTGAGGCAATAATTAATAGCTTACCAACCAAAAAAAAGTACAGGACCAGACGGATTCACAGCCGAATTCTATCAGAGGTACAAGGAGGAGCTGGTACCATTCCTTCTGAAACTATTCCAATCAATAGAAAAAGAGGAAATCCTCCCTAACTCATTTTATGAGGCCAGCATCATCCTGATACCAAAGCCAGGCAGAGACACAACAATAAAAAGAGAATTTTAGGCCAATATCCCTGATGAACATCGATGCAAAAATCCTCAATAAAATACTGGCAAACCGAATCCAGCAACACATCAAAAAGCTTATCCACTATGATCAGGTGGGTTTCACCCCCGGGATGCAAGGCTAATTCAACATACACAACTCAATAAACATAATCCAGCACATAAACAGAACCAAAGACAAAAACCACATGATTATCTCAATAGATGCAGAAAAGGCTTTGACAAAATTCAACAACGCTTCATGCTAAAAACTCTCAATAAATTAGGGATTGATGGGACATATCTCAAAATAATAAGAGCTATCTATGACAAACCCACAGCCAATATCATACTGAATGGGCAAAAACTGGAAGCATTCCCTTTGAAAACTGGCACAAGACAGGGATGCCCTCTCTCACCACTCCTATTCAACATAGTGTTGGAAGTTCTGGCCAGGGCAATCAGGCAGGAGAAAGAAATAAAGTGTATTCAATTAGGAAAAGAGGAAGTCAAATTGTCCCTGTTTGCAGACGACATGATTGTATATCTAGAAAACCCCACTGTTTCAGCCCAAAATCTCCTTAAGCTGATAAGCAACTTCAGCAAAGTCTCACGATACAAAATCAATGTGCAAAAATCACAAGCATTCTTATACACTAATAACAGACAAACAGAGAGCCAAATCATGAGTGAACTCCCATTCACAATTGCTTCAAAGAGAATAAAATACCTAGGAATCCAACTTACAAGGGATGTGAAGGATCTCTTCAAGGAGAACTACAAACCACTGCTCAACGAAATAAAAGAGGACACAAATGGAAGAGCATTCCATGCCCACGGATTGGAAGAATCAATATCATGAAAATGGCCATACTGCCTAAGGTAATTTATAGATTCAGTGCCATCCCCATCAAGCTACCAATGACTTTCTTCACAGACCTGGAAAAAACTACTTGAAAGTTCATATGGAACCAAAAAAGAGCCCACATTGCCAAGTTACTCCTAAGCCAAAAGAACAAAGCTGGAGGCATTATGCTACCTGACTTCAAACTATACTACAAGGCTACAGTAACCATAACAGCATGGTACTGGTACCAAAACAGAGATACGGACCAATGGAACAGAACAGAGCCCTCAGAAATAATACCACACATCTACAACTATCTGATCTTTGACAAACCTGACAAAAACAAGAAATGGGGAAAGGATTCCCCTTTTAATAAATGGTGCTGAGAAAACTGGCTGGGCATATGTAGAAAGCTGAAACTGGATCCCTTCCTTACACCTTATACAAAAATTAACTCAAGATGGATTAAAAACTTAAATGTTAGACCTAAAACCATAAAAACCCTAGAAGAAAACCTAGGCGATACCCTTCAGGACATAGGCATGGGCAAGGACTTCATGTCTAAAACACCAAAAGCAATGGCAACAAAAGCCAAAATTGACAAATGGGATCTAATTAAACTAAAGAGCTTCTGCACAGCAAAAGAAACTACCATCAGAGTGAACAGGCAACCTACAAAATGGGAGAAAATTTTTGCAATCTACTCATCTGACAAAGGGCTAATATCCAGAATCTACAAAGAACTCAAACAAATTACAAGAAAAAAACAACCCCATCAAAAAGTGGATGAAGGATATGAACAGACATTTCTCAAAAGAAGACATTTATGCAGCCAACAGACACATGAAAAAATGCTCATCATCACTGGCCATCAGAGAAATGCAAATCAAACCCACAATGAGATATCATCTCACACCTGTTAGAATGGCAATCATTAAAAAGTCAGGAAACAACAGATGCTGGAGAGGATGTGGAGAAATAGGAACACTTTTACACTGTTGGTGGGACTGTAAACTAGTTCAACCACTGTGGAAGTCAGTGTGGCGATTCCTCAGGGATCTAGAACTAGAAGTATCATTTGACTCAGCCATCCCATTACTGGGTATATACCCAAAGGAATATAAATCATGCAGCTATAAAGACACATGCACATGTATGTTTATTGCAGCACTACTCACAATAGCAAAGACTTGGAACCAACCCAAATGTTCAACAATGATAGACTGGATTAAGAAAATGTGGCACATATACACCATGGAATACTATGCAGCCATAAAAAATGATGAGTTCATGTCCTTTGTAGGGACATGGATGAAGCTGGAAACCATCATTCTCAGCAAACTATTGCAAGGACAAAAAACCAAACACTGCATGTTCTCACTCATAGGTGGGAATTGAACAATGAGTACACTTGGACACAGGAAGGGGAACATCACACACCGGGGCCTGTTGTGCAGTGAGGGGAAGGGGGAGGGATAGCATTAGAAGATATACCTAAAGTAAATGATGAGTTAATGGGTGCAGCACACCAACATGGCATGTGTATACATATGTAACAAACCTGCACGTTGTGCACATGTACCCTAGAACTTAAAGTATAATAAAAAAAAATATATATATATAAATAAAAGAAACAAACAAACAAAAAGCAGAAAGATTTCAGGGATCTGTTATCTTGAAAATTCAGTCTGAGGGAACAAGTTCCCTCACTCAAAGCCAATAAATGGAAGGAATTGGAAAGGCCTTAAGGAAAACTTCTTTCTCTCTGTATTTCTATTGAAATACCTGAGAAGGTCTACGGAGATGTAAGATTTCAATAACACCTTATTTTGTGGTAATGCTCTCATTTAAGTTATCCTGTACTATCACATAACCTTGAGTAAGAGCATTTTAAATCTCAGGAAATATCTGACACATTTCAAAGCATAGAATGGAGATGGAAAACACAGTTATTGGGAAATGGAAACATTTCAAATAAAATTATTTCTGAAAAGAGTAGCCCTGAAATTGTCATTAAAAGTACCATAATCTTTTAAAATTGCATTGATCTTTTCATGAGCAAAGAAAAATGATGAAAAATGTTGAAACGCTTTAAAAGATTCATGTTCTACTTATCAGGTAATGTTATACCTAGTTTTTATTTTTTAAATAAAAATTGAATTTATAACAATTGCCTGATTTAAATATAAAATGTAAGGTGTTGACGCATTTAAGGATAAATGGAATTGCACCATTTGGAACTAGTGCAAGGAAAGTATACACCAGAATCTCCTTGTGGTGACAGAGCCAGGGTCAAAGAATCGTATTTGCATTCTTTTGTTCTGCAAACCGCATATTTCTTCTAATTATAAGGACTCATATTTTTTCTTCCTCCATCCTCCTTAGAAATACCAAACATTTAATAACTATCCTTTGTAAAAAGCTTTCACTTGTCTAAAGATGCAAATTGATTACCACCACTTCGCATAATTGACTCATGATAGTTTGGTAAAGTCAAACCAGCAGAAAAAACAGAAACAAGTGTAAATGTGTTCCATGTTTGCATTATTCATAGCCACTGAAGTGTTTCAGAATGGAAAATAACTTCAAAAAATGATTTGGTAATGGTAGTTAGAATTCCTACAAAAACTAGTTTTTTATTTAGATGAACTACTTAAATATACATCCTTAAAGAGTTGATCAGAGATTATGGCTGTAACATTTAATTACCTTCACTTTAGGGTCACCATAAATCAAAAGATTATAATTCAAATGTATACTAATTTATTCTTAACCTTGGAGTTAATTACTAACCATCAGATTCTTTAATTATTGTTGGCAAGGGAGGAATATATCAAAAGAAGACCTGCTGAAACAAAAAATATAAATAAAGTTTATGGGCACCAAAAGATCTAAAAAAGTTAACAAATGTTTTACCAAGCTACATGTTTATGAAAGCCCTGATACCAATACCAAACATAGAATTACAAGAAAAAATAAACTCTAGACCAATATCTCTAATGAAAATGCAGCCAAAATTCTAAATGAAATTTTAGCAAGTCGAATCCAACAAATACAAAAAATATAATCACAACTGAGGTTTGCACCAGAAATAAAAGGCTAGTTTAACATTCAAAAATTAATAAAAGTACTTCAGCACATTAAAAAAATTAAGAAAAATTATACAATCATCTCCATAGATGTAGAACAAAAAGTTTGACAAAATTCAACATACAGGTATTTTTTTAATGCCTGATTAAAGAAAAAAATAAAAACTCTCAACAAAGAATGAATAGAAGGAACTTCCTCAACCTGATGAAGGGTGTTAAAAAAAAAATCAACAGACCAGGCGAGGTGGCTCACGCCTGTAATCCCAACACTTTGAGAGGCCTAGGTGGGCGGATCACAAGGTCAGGAGATCGAGACCATCCTGGCTAACACGGTGAAACCCCGTCTCTACTAAAAATACAAAAAATTAGCCAGGCCTGGTGGCGGGCGCCTGTAGTCCCAGCTACTCGGGAGGCTGAGGCAGGAGAATGGCGTGAACCCGGGAGGCGGAGCTTGCAGTGAGCCAAGATTGTGCCACTGCACTCCGGCCTGGGAGACAGAGCAAGACTCCATCTCAAAAAAAAAAAAAAAAAAAAAAAAAAAAAAAAAATTCAACAGGTCACATCTTATTAAGTGGTGAGACTATGATCCAGGAAGGAAAAAAATATGAAAACTGGAATCTCATAAACGTAAAAACTTTGACTCCTCAAGAGATACTGTTGGTGACTTTGAGTTCTGACCAAGATAAATTAGCCCATTCCTCCCAGGTCTTCCTTCTTACCATTGAATCACATAACAAATAATTATAGGCTCTCAAATGTGGAAAGAAGAAAGCAGACTGTCTGGGAACCCTGAGACTTAAGAAACAATGGGGAGATGAGTTCCCTGGGTCTCCATATACTGCCTCCATACATCCCAGAAAAAATACTGTAGAAGCCTCCAACGCAGAACTGCTCACAGGCACAAATCCAGACAAAAAGCTCCAAGAAAAGGTGATACTCATACTCAAACATCAAGTAAAGAGTGACCTAACAGAACACAAACTTTTTGACAATATCCACCCCATTCAAAACAAATACCAATAAAAAAGCCAACTTTCAACACACACACACACACACACACACACACACACACACACACACACTCTCCCTCTCTCTCTCTTCCGTGTTGGGCTAAGAAGGAAGCTTATCTTCTCTCCATTTGCTCATCACTTCACTCCCTCAGCTCCTTGCACAGTGGAATCAGACACTGGTTCTCCAATCTCCTGACCCAGTGGTGTTGGCAGGGCCAAGCCGAGGGCTGTTCTTCCATCGCCTACCTGTCTAGAGCAGGCAAAGCCCTGAATCCGCTGCCATGTTAGTGGCATCAAGGCCAACTGGGGAGTTGACCTTTCCTCTCTTGCCCAGCAAAAATGGGAGGTGCTCTGTTTGTCCCATCCAGGGAGCATCAGTGGGATCTAGAATTGAGCTGAGCCTCCACTCCCACCTGGCAACAAAGAGACTTAATTAGATGGTGGGTCTTAATTAGAGGTGGGTCTCATCACCCCTCTGCTGTACACCTCCAACCCCTGTATCTGTGGGACCCAAAAGGGAGTCCAGCTTCTCACCTCCACCTGACATCAAGTGGTGGAAAAAAGTGGTGGGAGGTGGCACAGATCTGCCCTTTCCTGCCCCTTCTTCTTTTCCCTGGTGTCAGCAAACTCAGCAGGAGCTGATTTTACTCTCTCTCAGTGGCAAAAACTTGGTCTGAGCCAACGCCCCCTTGCACTGGCAAGATATCAGGGGAACAAGGGAGGAGCTAAAGTTGTAACTCACTCATCTGCCACAGAGCAGTGTGAATCAGTGCCCCACATTTGCACAGTGGGAAGCTGAAGATACATGCCAACTCTGCCCTTGTGATATATCTCTACAGAACAGAATCCAGAGTTTCAAAATATAACATTCAACATGTCCAGGATACCCAAATGTCACTCATCATACCAACAATCAGGAAAATCACAACTAGAATGAGAAAGAGAGTCAACAGATGCCAACATTGAAAGGGATGGGATGTTGGGATTACCTGACAAGGATTTTAAAGACATAAAAATACCTTGAAATGCATTTAGAAATTCTCCTCAAATAGAAAGCAAGAAAATCTCAACACCAAAAAAAAGGAGTTATAAAAAATAACCAAGTGAAAATTATGTCTCTATAAAATATAACAACCAAAATTAAAAAGAAAATCACTGGATGGGCTCAATAGTAGAATGGAGAAAACAGAGAATAGAATCAGTGAACTTGAGGACAGACCAATAGAATTAACCAAACCTGAATAACAGTCACAAAATAGACTGAACAAGCTTAACAAGTTCTCAGGTACTTACGAGATAATAACAAGAGCCAATATTTACGTCACTGGAGTTCCAGAAGGAAAAAAGAGAGTGGGCAAAACCGAAAAAAAAAAAGTATTCAAAGATAATAATGGCTGAAACTTCTCAATTTTGAAAAGATATAAATTTAAAGATTTCAGAGGCTGAAAAAACTCAAATAAGATAAACACACACACAAAAATGTATTCTGAGACATATCATAATTTGAACTTCTGAAAATGAAAGACAAAGAAAACAATTTTTAAATGACATATTACTTATAGAGGAGCACCAATTTGAATAACAGCAATTTCTCATCTAAAGCCATAAGGCCAGAAGAAAGTGGCACCACATTTTTCAAGCTCTGAAAGAACAGAACTGTCAATCATGAATTTCGTCTCTGCCAAAAAATATCCTTTAGGAGTAAAAGAGAATTAAAGACATTTTTAGGCAAAAGAAAATTAAATGAATTTGTCACTAGTAAATCTACCCTTAAAGAATGACTAAGGAAATTTCTTTAAACAGAAATGAACTAATTCGAAGAAATGAAATGAAGAAAGCTTCAAACTTCAGAAAAGAAAGAATAAGTTTGCAATGGGTAAAATCAAGGGTACAAATAAAATAAATATATGTTCTCCTTCTTATGAATTTCTTGATGGCTGAAGAAAACATTTTAACACCATTTGAAGGTGTGCTCAATGAATGTAGAGAAAATTCTTAAGACAGTTGTATTTTAAAAGTGGGGAAGTAAAGGAAATTAAATTGAAATAACAATTCTACACTTTACTTGAAGTGGTAAAACATTGATAACAGCTGACTGTGACAAGGAAAACATGTATTGTAATAGCTAGAGCAACCACAAAAAAACTATACGAACTGATATACTTAAAAATATTATAAATGAAGATGGAATCCAAAAAAAATTCATGTAACTCCCAGGAAGGCAATAAAAGAGAAACCAAGGAACAAGACAGAAGAAACAAGTAGAAGAAAAATAATGGAGTGACAAATTTAAATATAAATTTAAATTATGTGTATTTATCAAAATGAGTCCATTTCATTATGTGTAAATTTTAAACATATTAATTTAAAAGTAGATGGACAAGCCACAAACTTGAAGAATATATTTGCAATATCTCGATATGTGTGTGTCTCTGTGTGTATTTGACAAAGTTTCACATTCATTGTATTCAGACTACAAAGCAGTCCTACAATTCAATTTTTAAAACTAAGAAAAAAAAGAAAAGCAATAAAAATGGATCAAAGACTTGAACAGACACTTCATAAATTAGGATATACAAATAGCTAAATAGCATGTAAAAAGGTGTTCAACCTCATTATTCATCAGGAAAAGAAAATTAAAATCTCTATGAGATTAAAAAGACTGATAGCACCCCAGGAGCAGCAAGCACCCTTACCACCCAGATCTTGGTTTTTAATGCCATTTCCCATTAAATGAAATGAGGGCTTCTCAGAGAAATGGCTGATTTGAGGACTGAGGCAGGAAATACACAAAAATGAGTCTGAAAAATCTTATAATGCTGGAAAGTCAGAAACAGCTGAAAACACAAACAAATATGGAGGCAGGTCAAAGGGACAGAAGGGCCAACTGAATGAGCTCCCAATGGTCCAAAGCTGGAAAAACTGGAGCAACAAAATAAAGTAGAATTGGATTATCACTCAAAGCATAAAGTAAATATTTATGAGTCAATACTGATATAAATAAATGAATGAATAATTGGAAGAGATCATCTCCCATGCAGATGAATTATTAATACAAATTGTTTATGTCCATCTTCCACTCTCAAGGAGGTAAAGCATAGCTCTCTACACCTAAATGTGGGCACTGCAAAATGACTTTCTTCTGACAGCTTGGAAAGGGGTCAGCACCCAACTATTGGAAAGAAGAACTTTACAGTGGAGAAACCTGACAAACACTATCTTAGCCAAGCAATGAATTTAACATCAACTGTGATAGGTCAGGTTGATAATACATACCCTTGAGATGATGTAAAGAAATTGGCATTTCATCTCTGTGGTCTTCCTCTCCAAAACCTATAACCTCAGTACAATCATGAGAAAAACAGCAGATAATTCCCAGTCAGAATACATTTAACAAAACATCTAAGCAGTATTCCTCGAAACTGACAAGGTCATCGAAAACACAGGCCATGGATTGGTGACCATTGAGTAAAGACTTGAATAGGTGATGGATTTAGTCAAACAGCTAATTATAGAAGAGAGCTCCAGGCAGAGGGAACCAGCAGAGCAAGAGCCCGGGGAGAGACAAACATAACCTGTGAGGTCTGGGAACATCCAGGAGGGCAGACTAGCTAGAGCAGAAAAATGAGAGAGTGGCCCTTGGTCAGTGAGCTGTCCATAAACTGCTCTATGAAAAGCTTAGTCCTGACATTGGGGGTAAGCATTTGGAAACTTCTATAGCAGTATGACAGAGTAGTTTTAGGTCTGTTGAATCAAATAACACAAAATTGGGGCGTGCATATTTTTTATATCTATTTCCTGTGTTTTTTAAATTTTATTTTTGGGTAACTCATTTTTTATAGCATTTTATAAAAGTTTTAGTTCATGATGATTCAGAGTGGTTTTTTTCTTTTTGGTTTTCTTAATGATCTTTCACCACATGTAGTCTTGTGGTACCTGGAGATCTTGTTGAGAGGCAGATTCTTATTCAGGTCTGGAGTAGAGTCTGGGATTCTGCCTTTCTAATGAGCTCCCAGGTAAAGCTTATGCTTCGAGTCCATGGAGTAGCAAGTCTAAGAATCACTGTGGGGCTGGGCTGAGAATACAGAGCAGGGAAGCTTAGGGAGAGGCAGGGAGGCTAGTTAGAAAGTGATGGTAGATATGCAGGCAACTGCATGCAATGCTTCAGATTACAGTGGCAACAGTGGTGGTGGTAAGAAGCGGTCAAATTGTAGGTTTTTATAAGAAAAGTAGAGCCAAACAATTTCTGGATGTATTGGATATGGGGTAATGAGTAAAAGAGATAAGTCAAAGACGACGCTAGGATTTTAGGGCATAACCAAATGAAAGGATTGAGTCCCGTAGCTCATGAGTAGAGAGGCTGACCCTGACAACAGAGCCTGAGCAGGTAACCATTTCATCCTAGCCATTTTCTATGAGTGGTCCAAAATGCTGGAAAATACCCACAAGACAGATTTACCTTTTAGATCCATCTCTATGTAGAAACACACACAATAAAGCCAATAAAGCCATGATATGTAGAACTCTAATCCCAGTTTCCTCGAATCAACAATAATGGCAGTACTGGCAACAAGAAAGCTTGAAAATCACTAAAACTGAGAATATAAAGACAAAACAACACCACAATTGGATAAGTTACTATAACCTGTTAACTCCATCTGCTGAGTCATCAAAGCAAATGGATCCAATAATCCAGGCCTGAACTACCTGGCAATCTCTCAGAAATTTTGATCCATAGAACTCCTTAAAAGTTTTTTTATGAGAGAGAGATGGTTAATAACTTTAACAGTAAGATATATGAATGAATCAATGCTGTGTTGAAGCCTTGTTATGAATAGCAAGGTCTGATTAAATGATATGTGTTGTGTCTGGTGTTTGTGTGTGGGTTTTGTGGGTGTGTGTGTGGTGAGTCGCTGGGAAAAATAATGGCTAGAATGTTATACCCCATATTGTTAACAAACATCACCTCTGGGAAAGGAAGAGAAGTTGACAGAGAAAGAGGGAGGGATGATATGATGGTATGATATACCTTCTGAGATATGCCTCTGATTTATTTGAATTATTTTATAACATTACATTTTAAATTTTGGAGCACTATAAAGACAGAGAATATGTGTGCAGTCCTTTCTACCATTTTACCTCTACTTAAGAAAAATGGAACACAGCCTTCTCAGGAAATCTAACATTTTCCTAAAACATTTTGCTTATGAGTATACAGAAGGAATTTCCTTGAGCTATACACTGCTATACAGATTAAGCAAGCAAAACCCATGCAAATACCTACAACTTTATCTCTAGCAAACATCACTCCCCAAAATAAGGATATGTAAAGGCAAGTGGAACATGAGAAGGCTAAAATAGCACCAAGATTTCTTCATGCAGTAAAAATAGCACATGCTCAAGAAGGAAATTGAATGCATTCATGAACAACCATGAAGTCATCCTGTTGTAATATTTTTACTTACACTAAACCACCCCTTCATTGTAATAAAGCTTGAATTCTATCACCAATATTCTCCCTTCATATCTAGTTTTTAAAAATTTACTAACGTCACCTCTCTCTCCATATTTACCTCCAAGGAGTATGTATGCCTCACGTTCTGCTCTGTGGATTCAGTGAAAGTCTTTCCTTTGCTAAGATCAAAGCACTACAAACTAAGTAGTGTGATCTCTGAATGTATCTGACTGCAAACTGTGTGTATAATCCTGTGCTTTATAAATATAATGATCTTATAATAGACCTGCTGAGCATAAGTGGCCAGCTTAATGCACCAGCCTGTGAATCTTCATATTAATTACTTTTGCTCCCAAACTCTATGTAGTGGAAAGAACTAGATGGGGGTTGGAATCATGGTTCTATGACTTATAAGGGGGACGTTGATAGCCACTTAACCTCTTTGAGTGTCAGTTTTCTTATCTATATAAAGTGAGGATTAAATTATTTACTTCACAAAGTTGTCTTTGTGGCTTGAGATATAAGAGCTTGTAAAACTACTTACTCAGTGCCAAGCACATAATAAGCCCACAATACGTGCTAATTTTAAAATATTATTCAGAAAGGAAATGTGAGATATCAGAGCACATTTTAAAAACTGCCAATAAAACCAAGACTGGCCTTCCATGTGGAAATAGTAGAGATGGCACCTACTTTCATAAAGTGGGATGTGAGAAAGATTTTAGCCTGGCTCTTGGCCTCCTTAAGAAATGTTCCCTTTAATTCATTTCAATGTGTCACCTAGTAAAGGTAATCTATTAAGTAGGTGACATACAAAAAGGAGTTAGGTTTTCCTCCATAGTGAATCCATCTCTACAGGCTATAACCTAGCTGAACTAAGACCTGTGGCAGACAATTAGCAAAGGGAAGCACTGCACATTGCAGGTGAAGGTGGGAAGCATGCTGAAGCCAGAGCAAAGAGAAACAAGGAAGGAAACATCAGCTCACTTTTCAGTCTCAGGCAAGGGCCACCTGCACCTATGTGGTAATGCCCATGAGTATGCACGTAGGGAATTCCATAAGCAAAAAGCCCTGTTTTGGATTTGAAGGCATCCAAGTCCTGGTTGTCATCCCTACAAAGTTTGAGTGAGTGGACTAGGCAAAGTATGCATTCAGGTGAAGGTACAGGCAGGTGTGCTGTGCTTAGAGCTATCCTAGAAATTGTACTGGGTTTGCCAAACTTCAGTTTGCAAGTTGGAACTCCCTGGTCTTGCATAACCTTGATTTAAAGTGATAATGAATAGGCCTGTTTCTGAAGCAGAAAGGAAAAAACAATGTTAAGAGAGAATAAACTCTCTTAAAGGAGGGATTAACTCTTTTGTCAAACTAGCTTCCTTGAAAAACAGCAGCAGGGAATAGTGTAAATGGGATCCAAATAGTTGTAGCATGAATGCACACTATTTTTTTCCTTATGGTTTCTCACCTCAGATTGTCCTTGAGGCAATTTTCATATCATGACGCTCACTTTTCTGATGTAGAAAATCAAAGCACGTAAAGGCATAACTATAACTTTGTTTACTGTCAATTCAGTAGCAAGCATTATAATAACTGTCATATATAAAGCATTTATCCTCTATTGCAAGATTTGACATGAATATCAATGAAAATAAAATAGAGATAATGCCGCCCATCTAATAAGGTTGTCATGAAATGTCAATTGACAATGTATGGGAGAGCTCCTGGTTCAGTCCCTAACAGATGTTATGTGTTGAGTAAATATTGGCTTTCTTTCTAAAACATTTTGTAAGTTATGCTTGTTTTATGGCTACAGTCTGGACCTGTGTAATGGTTTAAATGGATCATCTCCTTCACTAAGGATCAAATGAAGCTGAAGTTTCATGTATTTGCCAGAGAGTAATAGGTGAATGTTCTGGAGTAGTTGAGGAAGAGAAACGAATGGGACTATCTGCTTTTAATACAGAAAAGTCTGTGTTACAGGTCAAGTGCATGAAGACTTTTCCATTCTTCCAAAGAACTATGACCTCACTTAGAATACTTGCCACTAGTTAATAGGTAGATGGATGATTCCAAGTTAGTGCAACACAGAGACATATGTTAGATTTATTTCATTTGTAGAAAACAGAAAAAGGTACAATGAAAAGAAAAACATTTGGCATCTGCTTCCAGCCAAAACAGATAAAAGGAACCAGATTTACATGCCAGCCCTAAACAACACAAAGCAAGCAACAAAAGAAGCAGCAAAATACATGAAACAATGTTTTTCCCAGACAGCACAAAATAATCATTCTCAAGAGAAGGGAGACATAAGAAGTCAGCCCTATGATTACCCTCTTACAGCCTGAAAAGTTTCCAGGCTGCAGTGTAGGTAGGGGAGTCCAAAATAGTCTCCCTAAGTTGAGATGACATGGGAGTCCAAAGAGACCGAGGCACTGTGATTTACAAGGCAAGGTACTGAAGAAGAAAAAGCTGGCCAGGCACGGAGGTCCACACCTGTAATCCCAGCACTTTGGGAGGCTGAGTCGGGCAGATCACCTGAGGTCAGGAGTTTTACCAGCCTGACCAATATGGTGAAGCCCCGACTCTACTAAAAATACAAAAAACAAAACAAAACAAAAAAAACAGCCAGGCGTGATGGTGGGCATCTGTAGTCCCAGCTACTTGGGAGGCTGAGACTGGTGAATTGCTTGAACCCAGGAGATGGAGGTTACAGTGAGCCGAGATCACCTGGGCTACAGGGTGAGACTCCATCAAAGAAAGAGAAGGAAAGAGAAGGGAAGAGAAGAGGAGGGAATAGAAGAGAAGAGGAGAGGAGGGGAGGGGAGGGGAGGGGAGAAGGAAGGAAGAAAGAAGAGAAGAGAGCTAAACAGAGAGAGAGATCTCCATACCTGGAGAGGTTCTCCCCTGGGCCTTGAACTAAGTGTTGATCAGTGTATTTATGTAAGGAAATTATCCATGGCCAGGGAAAGAACCACTCAATAGGAGAAAAGGAAAAAAATCCTTAAAGCTCACACAGAAACAGGAATTGTTTGTATTCCAGTTGTATTCCCCACCAGTCGGTGAGAATCAGAAAATCTCATAATTCAGGGATTTGCCTCAGCAGTATTCTAAGCAAAGCTAGATTAAAGACTACTTTGGTCCTGCATCACAAAGCTTAAAGGCAAGCTTCAAAAGGATCAAATAACTAACAACTTATCTGTGCCTCAGAGAAAAGTTCAAGAACATTTATAGGAATACAGAAATTTCTAGTTCCTCAAAAGGAAAAATTTATGTATTACATCCCATTAAAAATTACCATGCATGCAACGAAGCAGGCAAATACTACACATAATAAAGAGAAAAATCAATCAATTGAAATTGACCAAGAAGTGACACAGATGATTGAATTAGTAATTACAGGATGTTAAAACATTCATTTATTATAATTGTATTCTATATGTTCAAGGAGGCAAAGGATTTTTTCCCCCTAGACAACTAAGATGCTTCAAAGAGTTCTTTATACTTGTCATCCTTGCTTTCTCTCCTCCTGCTTCTCTCAAACCCACTCCAATCAGTTTACATCCACATTCCTCTACACACAGTTCTCAAGGCCATCATGACCTCCGTGTTGTCATGCCCTTGGTCTGTCCTCCATCTTCATCCTCTTCGACCCATGGGCAGCAGTTGACACTTTAGTTCATTCCTTTATTTCTTGAAATTCTTCACTTGCCTTCTAGGACACCACTCGCTCAGGTTTTCTCCTATTTTCTCAGCTACTGCTCTTCTGACCTTTTTGCTTGTTTCTCTTCATCTTCCTGACCTTTAAATTTTGGAATATTCCATGGTTTAGTTCTCAGGTCTTTTTCCTTCCCTATCTATATTCATTCCTGAGGTGATCTTATCTGGTCTCAGGACTAAACACCATCCACACAACTCCCAAATGTACATCTCCATCTCCAGCCTAGATATCTTTCTAAATTCCTGAATTCTGTAATTAAATGTCTAATACGTATTCCAAACTTCACAAGTTGAAAGCACTTGATTTTTCTGACCTAGCTTTGCCCAACTTTTCTTCCTATAGGCTTTCCCATGTCAATACATGTCATACTTCTTCTCAGCCACGAGTCTCAGTCATCCTTGAGATTTTTTCTTTTACAACTCACATCTGCTCCACCAGGAAATCTTGATGCTTCTACTTTCAAAGAGTATCGAGAATTCAACCACTTCCAACCACCTCCACTGTCCCCTCCCCCATATATCTCATATGGATTACTGTCATTACTTCCAGAGTGGTCTTTCTGCTTACACTTTCGCTTATTTCCAGCCTGTTTACCATCCAGCAGCCAGAAAAAATCTTTACGAATTCAAGTCATAACTCATCACTGCTCCACTCAAAGCCCCCCAACACTGTTTATTTCATTGACAGTAAAACCTCACTGGTTTTACAATGGCTGAAAAAGCCCTGCTCAATCTCAGAGCATGGGTTCCACCCAACCCCACCTGCTTCAGCTTCCACCACTTTATTCCTTCCTCTGTCTGCTCCATTGTCACTGGCCTCCTCGCTTGTCCTTAGACATACCAACACACCCTCACCGTTGCACCTCCTGTTCCCTCAGCTTGGAATCATCTTTGGCTGGTAAATCTATGCCCTGTTTCCCTATGTCCTTCAAGTCTCTGCTCAAATGTCTTTTTCTCAGAGAAGCCTTTCCTAATCACCCTGTAGGAGGAGCACATCCTATCTTTTTCTCTAGATTATCAGCTAAATGAATGAATGAATATTCATCTTCTAATGCAATTATCTCTTTAGAGTAGAGATATGGGAGTGGGATCACTGACTCCAAGGATATAGATATTAAAGATATATTTGACATATTTGACCAATTTATGTTCCTATCAACAGAGTACACAACAATGCCATTGCCCCAACCCTCACCAAAAGCAGTCTTGTCAATTGCTTTTATTTTTAGTGAACTGATAGGCAAAATATTTTTTATTCAATTTTTTTTTATTCAAATTTTGGGATTAGTTGCATGTTTTATGTATATTTTATCAAGAATTTGTACATGTATCATTTATGTATATTCCTAGATTATGTTATTTGTTCAC
Organism: Homo sapiens; assembly: GCF_000001405.40. NCBI lineage: Eukaryota > Metazoa > Chordata > Mammalia > Primates > Hominidae > Homo > Homo sapiens. Next base: position 149,777,605 of record NC_000002.12, on the reverse strand, counting down.
TTTTATATTATGATTATTTCTTTTTTTGACTTGTTCAGTGTATTATATCTGTTTAAATTGTAAAAGGAAGAAAAAAGGCAAAATAAAGCTTGAGATTATAGGACATGGAATGTATTTTTCAAAAACAGACACAAATTGAACTTCTAGAGATTAAAATATATATATAATATATTGTATATATTATATATATTATATTATATATCTATATTATATTACATATATTATATAATATATATATACACACATACATATTTTATTTCTAAAACTGTGCATTTAGGCAACAGGGCATAAATAGTGAACTGAAGACCAAATTAATATCGCTTTCTGGCCCAATTAAGTGTACATTTCCATTTTGCCTTTTCTGTAACCTGCTTAGATCCCACCTTGTATTATAGAACACTGAGGAAATCACTTAACTTCTCTGAGCTGTACTTTCTTCACTCATGAAATGGTGGTAACACTAACCTGAAGAAATATTGAGAGAATTAGAAAAAGTCTGTACACGTCATGGGTCAGTAGTCCTAACAAAGATGCCTGTTTGGTGCTGCCTTTGCTGTCCACCACTGCAGGTGTTGAGGAAGCATCTCTCCCACCAGCTTACGCCCACCTGAGCACCAGAACCCCCAGTGGGCTGGGGACAGAAGTTTCCCATTTTCGGTGTCTTAATTTCAGTATCCAAGGACTTCTTCTCAGCTGGTCCCAAGATGTCTAGTAGGCTTCTGAATTAGGTTATCTAACAGCCCTGAGTAATACTTTACTGAATCAAGTATTAAAATTATAAGCAAAAAGAAATAAAACGTGGAAACTACAAGAAACCAAACCTGTCCCGCAGTATATTTTGAAAGACACCTAAAACTATTTTCAATGTAGTATTTTACATTTTTTATTGTGGATTATAAAACATTTACAGGAAATGCCACAAAATTAAATGTATCATTCAATAAATTTTCATAAAGTAAACATGAATGTGGCCACCACCCTGGTCAAAGAAACAGCCGGGTGCTGAATGCTGGGTGCTGGGTGCTGGTGCTAGTGCTGTAGGAGCTTATAGGCACCACAGGAACTTCCCTACATAGCCCCTACCTCTAATCATTATTCTTTCTTCCTCCTCTACAAAAGAAATCACTATCCTGAATTCTAACATTATAATTTAGTTTTGCCTGTTTTTGAGTGTTGTGTAAATAGAATCATATCGTAGATGTTCCTCTATAATTGACATTTTTCTCTCAATACTGTGTTCATGAAATATATGCATGCTACAGTATGTAGCTATAGTTTTTAATTTTTATTGCTGTATAACATTTCTTTGTGTCAATATTCCATAAATAAATAAACTAATAGTTTATTGATCCAGGACACTATTGATTGATCTTTGAGTTATTTCTAGTTTGGGGGATTTTAAAGTAATATTATTATAAACCCTCATGTATCCAACTCTTGGTGTTTCTTTTGTATAATAATCTGACAATAAAGTTTATGGTTCATGGTATATATGTATTATCTATTCTTAGTAGATAATATCAAACAGCAGTTTTCTAGGTGGGTGCACTAATATTCACTCCCACTCACAACCAGTTCCAGGAACTCTACACATTTGCCAACATTTGGTATTGTTGATATCTTGATTTTTATCTACTCTAATACATATGCAGTGGTACATCATTTGGTATTAATTCACATTTTTCTTAAGACTAATAAGGTTTTCCAGGCATATTGGCCATTTCCTAACCTTGCTGGCCATTTGTACATCTTTTGTGAAATGTCTGTTCAAGTCGCTCCAATTTTTTCACTGTTATCTATATTTTGCTTACCAATTTGTATTCATTCTATATATATTCAGGACACAAAAGCCACTTATCAGATATACTTGTGGGAAATATCTTTTCTCCTTTCAGAACTTACTTTTTCCTGTATTTTTTGATAAATAAATAATTTTAATTTAGATAAATTAATAAATCTTTTCCTTTGTGGTTATCTTTCTCTACTGAAGGGAATAAAGCACTTTTTCCTATTATCTTCTGGAAGCATAATTTGTTTTTTACAATTAAGTTTACTATCTTTCTGAAATTAATGTTCATTTATGGTATATGGTAAAGATCAAATTTATATTTTCTATATTGATATTCAATTTACTCAAAACCATTTATAGAAAAGAAACTCTGTACTGCTCTACACTAGCAAATTTGTAATGAATTAAGTGTGCATTTGTGTTTCAGTCTGTTTCTGGGCTCTCTATTTTATTCTACTAGCCTATTTATCAATACTTGAATAAATACCACATTAGCCTGAAATTGTATACTAATTCTTAATATCTTCACCAGAAAGTCCTTCTGTCTTGTTTTCCACTATATAAGTATGTCAGCTAATTTTAGTTCAGTATGTTTCTATGTTTTAGAATTAGCATGTTAAGTGACATACAACATACATACAAACATAAAAATTATTGAAGTATTTTATGGGAATACATAGATACTATAGATCATTTTGAGAAGAAATGACATCTTTACAATATCATTTATTTATTTAGGTCTTCTCTAATTTCTACAAATAATGCTTTATAGTTGTCTTTGAAGCCCTCTCGCATATTATTAACTCAATTTATTTCTAGATAAACTGTATTTTAAATTTCATTGTGGAAAAAATACAACATAAGCAACACCATTCTGAACATAGGAACTGGCAAACAGTTCATGACAAAGATGACAAAAGCAATCACAACAAAGGCAAAAATTGACAAATGGGATCTAATTAAACTAAAGAGCTTCTGCACAGCAAAAGAAACTATCAACAGAGTAAACAATCAACCTACAGAATGGGAGAAAATTTTTGCAAACTATGCATCTGACAAAGGTTTACTATCTAGCATCTATAAGGAACTTAAACAAATCTACAAGAAAAAAACAAACAACCCCATTAAAAAGTGGGCAAAGACCACAAACAGACACTTTTCAATAGATGACATACATGCAGCCAACAAACATACAAAAAAAAGCTCAATATCTCTGATCATTAGAGAAATACAAATCAAAACCACAAGGAGATACCATCTCATTCTAGTCAGAATGGCTATTATTAAAATGTCAAAAAATTAAATGCTGACAAGGTTATGGAGAAAAGGAACGCTTATACACTATTGATGGAAGTAAAAATTAGTTCAACCATTGTGGAAAACACTGTGATGATTCCTCAAAGAGCTAAAAAGAGAACTACCATTCATTCCAACAATCCCATTATTGGGTACATACGCAAAGGAATATAAATTATTCTACCATAAAACAAATGCACACGTATATTCACTGCAGCACTATTCAAAATAGCAAAGACATGGAATCAATCTATATGCCGGTCAATGGCAGATTGGATAAAGAAAATGCGGTACATATACACCATGGAATACTGTGCAGCTATAAAAAATAATGAGATTGTGTCCTTTGTGAGAACATGGATGGAGCTGGAGGCCATTATCCTCAGCAAACTAATGCAAGAACAGAAAACCAAATACCACATGTTCTCACTTATAAGTGGGGGCTAAATGGTGAGAACACTTGGACACACAGAGGGTAGCAACAGACACGGGTCTACTTGACGGTGGAGGGTGGGAGAAGGGAGGAGATCAGAAAAAATAACTATTGGGTACGAGGCTTGGTACCCTGGTGATGAAATAATCTGTACAACAAACCACCATGACACGAGTTTACCTCTGTAAAAAACCTGCACATGTACCCCTGAACCTAAAAGTTTTAAAAAAATGAAAAGTCAAAAAATGTAAAAAATAAAATTTATTGATTTATCCCAAAAAAGAAATGTAATTAAATGTTTATATTTAACAAATATTCAGCAAGTAGCTAAACTCACTTATTAATTCTAATAACTTGTTTGTAATTTTAAGATTACTTTTGTATGAAAATCATGTCATCTGAGAATAATGGTAGCTTTATTTTTAATTTTCCCAACCTTATATATTTTCCTATTTTTGTAAATTTATTTATTGCATAAGATCTCCTATATATGGTTGAATTGTAAGGATGATAGTGGCCATCTTTGCCTAATTTCTGACAACAAAGGGAAAGCTTTATAACTACTTCATTTAGTATTATATTTACAATAAGTTTTATTCAGACCCTATTTATCAGATTAAAGATGAGTTCTTCTGACCTCAATTTGCCAAACCTTTTTTTTATCGTGAATGAATGATTTATCAGAAATCTTTTGCACATTTTATGGTAACATTATTTTTCTGCTCTACTCTGTTAATGTGGTAGTTTATATTGGCTATTTTTCAAAAGGTAAATAACTCAACTTGTTGGATTATCTGTTTTCATAGTTGCTAGATATGGTTTACTAATGTTTTGTTTAGGATGTTTTTCATCTACATTCAGAAGTGAGATTGTGCTGTAATTTTTCTTCCTTTTATTGTTGCCAGATTTTAGTGTCAAAGATATCTTCATAAAACAGGTTGTGAAATGTTTCTTTTTCGTTATTCTTAGACATGTTTGTGCAAGCCTTTTTATATCTTGTTTTAAATTTTTAATAAAATTAAGTGGTGAAATCCTCTTGGCCTAGCATTTTATATGTGGAAAAAGGTTTCAGTTTTTAATTAAAGATTCAAGGTACTTAATAGTTACAGGATTTACACATATTCTCTCTTTCTTTCCTGTCACTTTTGGTAAATTATGATTTTCTAGGAATATATACATCACCTCTATATTTTGTATGGATTCAAATCTAGTTGTTCTTGACAGTTTCTTATTTTTAGTATTTATAGAGTATATAGTAATGTTCAGTTTTCATTCCTAATATTGGTGATGCGTTTAATTTTTTTGTAGAAATTTTGTGCCTTTTCCTAATTGTTTTCTAAACATGATTATGATCACTGTTATCAATTTTATTAATCTTTTCAATGACAAAGTTTTATTTTTATGTATAGTATATATAAAATTTATCTTTGTAAATTTTCTCTAATGTTTGCTTCTAAACTAATTTCTGCCCTTTATTATTGTCTTCCTTCACATTTCCTTATTTCCTTATTTTCTTTCTTTCTTTTTTTTTTTTTTTTGTTAGATGGAGTCTTGCTCTGTCACCCAGGCTAGAGTGTACTGGCATGATCTCAGCTCACTGCAGACTCCGCCTCCCGGGTTCAAGCAATTCTCCTGCCTCAGCCTCTGAGCAGCTGGGATTACAGGCGCCCACCACCACGCCTGGCTAATTTTTGTATTTTTTAGTAGAGATGAGGTTTCACCATCTTGGCCAGGCTGGTCTCAAACTCCTGACCTCATGATCCACCCGTCTCGGCCTCCCAAACTGCTGGGATTACAGGCATGAGCCACTGCGCCCGGCCTATTTCCTTATTTTCTAACTTTCAGCAATACATGCTTAGCTTGTTGATTTTCAGTCTTTACTTTTTAAATATATCCATTTAATGCTTAAATTTCTCTTTAAATATTCCTTATCTGCAATCTCATAATATTTAGATAAGTTCTTTCACTGTCACTTGATTCAAAATATTCATAATTTCCGTTTGGAATCTTTCTTTGATCCATGGGTTAAGCAATCTATTTTTTAACTGCTTGATTTGTTAATTATTGAGAGCAGTGTCTAAAGATACATCTCTATGATTATATGTTAAGCTATTTTTCCTTTTATTCTGTCAACTTTTTCATATATTTGAGGCTACATGTTTAAATGTACAGTAGTTACATTTTCTTAGTGAGTTCCTTTTATCACCTTTCATCATGACATTCTTTATCTCTGGAAATGCTTTAGTCTTTATAGTCTGATCATCGTCAGACAATAATACCAGTTTTTGCTTGGTTAACATTTTGTGGTATTAATTTTTTAAATAATTTTGCTTGTAATTTAAGGATTCTTACATTTTTGAGGCATTTCTTACAAACAGCACATATAGGGTTGCTTTCATTTTACCCAACTGATCTCTACATTTTAATTATAGAATTGGGCCGATTTACCTGTAATATAATTACTAATATAACAGAGACTAAATCTACTATAATTTACCATGACTTCCATTTTTCCCCACCAGCTTTTGTAACGTAACATTTTCCTCTCCTTTCTTCCCTTCATCTAGATTGATCTTGTTCACTCTCCTTTCCCCTCCCCCTCACCAAGAAAAGGCTTTCTTTACTGTATTTTAGTAGTGAACAAAGAGATTATAATCTGCTACTCACTAGAATATGATGGTAGCTGGTATTTTTGCCCTGTTCCTAAACAAGGAAAAGTTAATAAAACACTTTGTTGCCATTTACCCACCTCCCAACAATCTGCCTTAATTTTATATATATTTTAAATCACCAGGACATTATCATTTCATATAGTCAACATTCAGATAGTGTTTTATACAGACAGTTGTCATTTAGATTTGTCCTCATATTGAACAAACTTTTATTCTTTATTTCTTCTATCATTTTTAAACTTCGATCTGGGATCATATTTCTCCTACCAGAAATAGAAGCTTTAATATTTCCTTTAGTTCTTTAATGTTTCCTTTTTATATGGCATTGATAAATTCTCTTACTCTTGTTTGACTGAAATATATATATTTCACCCTTATCCATAAAAACATTTTGTATATGCATAAACGTCTAAGATGTCATGAATTTTTTTTCAGCAATGTAAAGATGCTCCATTATATTTTGGCTTCCATAGGTTCTGGTAAGGAGTGTGTTCTGAGTGAAAGTCTTTTGACAGTAATCTCTTTTCTTTTTCCTGGTTTCTTGAAGTTATATTATGATGTACCTAGATGTAGCTTTCTTGCCATTTTTACTCCTTATATAGTGTTTCTCTGTTTGAATCCTCAAGAAGCAGACACTGGGGCCGGGCGCGGTGGCTCACGCCTGTAATCCCAGCACTTTGGGAGGCCGAGGCGGGCGGATCACGAGGTCAGGAGATCGAGACCATCCCGGCTAAAACGGTGAAACCCCGTCTCTACTAAAAATACAAAAAATTAGCCGGGCGTAGTGGCGGGCGCCTGTAGTCCCAGCTACTTGGGAGGCTGAGGCAGGAGAATGGCGTGAACCCGGGAGGCGGAGCTTGCAGTGAGCCGAGATCCCGCCACTGCACTCCAGCCTGGGCGACAGAGCGAGACTCCGTCTCAAAAAAAAAAAAAAAAAAAAAAAAAAGAAGCAGACATTGTGGCACAGATGAATGTGGCATTACTTTATTTGAGAAGTGCAAACCCAGGGTAGTATAGGTATGGAAAACGGGAAATGAGACAAGAAAATATGCAAGGAATGTCATAAAATGTGTTACCATGCTGACTATTACATCAAGCTGCCAAGAAACGTGGTAGCTGCTCAGTAGCTGAGTTTACTTTCCGGCATACATAACTTCTTAATAAGGGGTGCAAGAAGGAACCACACCTAGGAATATTCCATGGAAGAAAGAACAGAGCTAACTCTCCAAAACTGGGTAACTGTGTTACCTTATCCCTTGATGGCCATTCAGGAAACCAGACAATGCCTGGGAATATAATCTATCCAGCTTGAAACTAAGGATTCGTGTCTGTTATTAATTTAGAACATTCTCAGGCATTACTTCTTCAAATGTTGCTTTTGCCTTATTCTGCCTCTTTTTCTAGGATTCCAGTTACATGCATGTGAGACTGTCTTACCATATCCTCTACATCTCAGTCCCTCTCTTCCATTTTCCCATTTTTTTGCTTATCTGGGTTTCATTCTAGATATTTTACTCTAGTCTAACTTCCAGTTGCTACATTAAAAAAAAAAAGTTCAGCTATATCTAATCTGCTTTTAATCCCATACGTTGAGTTCTAAATTTCAGATATTAGGTTTTCCAATTTTATAATTTCTCTTGGAATTTTTAGAGTTACTAGGCCTCTCCCAAAATCCTCAGTGTGTTCTTTCATCTTCTTGAATACTTTAAGCATAGCTATTTTAAGTGTTAAGTCTGATTGCTATATTAATTGGAGGCCAAGTGGGTCTTTTTCTATTTTGTTATTATTTTCCTATCTTTTCTTTTACTGTTTCATTACTCTACATGACTCGCAGTTTTAACTGAGGATTGTGTATTGCATATATTGCCTTTTTGCAAGAAGAATTTGCCTCTAGCAGATACCTACTATGAGCACATTCAATCGGAAATCAACAATTTTCAAGGAGAAGGCTAGAAATAGTCCTCTAAAAATATAGCGGCAGAAGTAAACTTTGTTTTTTCTTTATATAGATTCTTTCTATGTTGCCCAGGCTGATCTCAGATTCCTGGGCTGAAGTGATCCTCCTGCTTCAGCCTCCAGAGCAGCTGGGATTACAGGTGTGAGTCACCATCTCCTATATACCTTATTCTGCATACATCATTTCTTGTAATGAAACAATATTCTTTTAAGTAGTTTTATCCTCTTATTCAAGAGGAGAATGCAGAAGATGAAAGTGCCAATAATTTAATTAAAAATATGCCTCTAGTATGTAGCAGAGAAGAAATTCAAATTCTGCTCTATGATGCCAAATATTCTACTCATGCCACCACACTACAAGACCTCTGCTAACCCTCTCTACACATAATTTAACCAGATCCAGTTGTAGTTACAGAAGTAGTCAGGATTGTCTGAAATTTAGTCAGAAACTCTTCTAAATTACCTATGTACAATAGTAAGCAATCTGCAAGGAAAATCTGTAAGATAAATAAAACCTGGAGAGTGAGTTTTTAAAAACAAACCACCAACCAAAAACTCTGACATAAGGAAAACAAAATCAAAGGCTGACTGAACAAACCTTTACTCTGGGACTGATTTGTTTAATGTGTCAGAGTAAAACCCCATCCAGTCAACTGTCCCCTGATGAGAACTCTTGGAAACTCAACTCCTTGTATGCTTTGGGCAGCTTTATGCTTGAACTCTTTAGCTAGACATTCTCCTCCAGATCCAGGTCCTCACAGTTAAAATTACAGGGGAATTTACAGCACTACATTCCTCCTCTCATGTGGTGGGAGGAAAGGGAAAAGAGTTTCACCATCCCTTTTTAAAAAATGATTTAAACTCTTTCAAGACTTCGTGCTTTTTATTGAACCATTTATGGAAAATTTTGAAGAGGTTCAGTGAATTCCATTAAAACAGAACTTAAATTAAAAGGAATTTCTTCCTCCTGGAGTTCCATGGTATTTATTTGACTCTCACATCAATTAGGCTATGACTCACTCTTTTTAAGAGGCAGTTTGGTTAGGTATCTTATTTGGCCTTAATTTAATAACCTAACATAAGCTGTTGAGCTCAGTAATTACTACCTTGCTGGGAGACACTTCTGCTTTGAATCTTTCACAAGCACAGCTGAAGGTCTGAATGCTGCCGTTTCTATTTGTCTTTATTCTCAGAGTTTGTATTATTGAAGGTTTGCATAGTTTCCAAGAACATCACTGTATTTGAGACTTAGATATTGAATATAAAGGTATTTCAGCATAATATTTGTGATAGAAGCTAAAAAAATAAAAGAATTCAAGTGATTGTAAAAGCTCAAAGGAACTGAATAAAGGAAAAGTCCAAATTTGAGAAAAGGTTGGAATTTCACCATAATCTGAAGGGCAAAAAGAACCCATCGAACATGATTCTTAGAATCAAACCATTTCTCATGTGGAGGCTGAGCACACGTATTTCATGGGCTAAGGTAAAAGCAGGGAAGGTTGAAAATGTTTGTCTCTGTTATAGCTGCTTCTTTTTGGCTCTTCTCCCAGCAGCTTCAGTGCTGAGGCTAATGGCAAAGGAAACACCAGGGGATCAGTGAGTAAGAACTTGTCAAGGGAACAAAGTCTGAAGATGGAACGGAGGAAGAGGAGAAAATCTTCCACCAAAAAAAATATTAAAATCTGATCTTCAAGGAAATACTGAATCCACATAGCACTCCCCTCCGCTCCCTTCTTAGGCACAGCATTACTCACCATCTCACAGAGGAGAAACAGAAATATAAAATAAAAAGTGGAAACAATCATTAAAAATACTTAGCCACTCCCACGTGTCCTGGGAAACTGAGAACACAGTAACTACCAAACAAATTACATGATGTCACATGCCAGATACCTAAAGGATAACATCACCCCATCTTCAGAAACAGAAGAAAATAAAATAGCAAAAGCAAGAGAGCCATAACTACATCATATATATCTCTCCTCCCATATTTCTATGCAGTATTTCATACAAATATAGAATGTATGACAATGCCAATGAGAAAAAAAATGCAATAGCAATAGAGTTTGTATATAAATGTTCATGTCAGCTTTACTCATAATAGCCCCATACTAGAAACAATCCCCAAGTCCATCAATAGGTAAATGGATAAACAAATTATAGGACATACACACGATGGAATATATGCAGCAAATAAATAAAATGAAGGAGTATGCAAACCACTGATACATGCAATGACATGGATGTATTTTAAAATTAGTGTACCGAGTTAAGTAAGCCAGACCAAAAGATTACAAAAGAAATATCATTTACATGAAATTTTAGAAAGAAAACAATCTTTAAGAGAGAAAGCAGATCAGTGGCTGGTTGGGGAAAGAGGGTAGCTGCTATTAATTACAAAAGTACATGAGATAGTTTTGGGAAAGCTGATAGAGATGTCATATATATGATTATGGTGGTGGTTATAAGAGTGTAAACATTTGTCAAAACTCAATTTAACATTTAAGAGAGGTGTATTCAATTACATGAAAATTAAACATACTTCAATAAAGTGTATATTTAATGCAATGCATGCAAGAAGGAAAAAAAAGCCTAAAACTTGGATATTCTCTTTAGAGCCTATGCCTATACCAATAAGTATAGGTAAAAATATAAATATAGTCAGAATATTGGTTGTATACAGCCACTGGGATGTTGTTTTATGTGGCATTTTTTATCCAAAAGTAAGAGAAGACTCCCTTCTCTTTGCCAGGCTCCAGATGGGCAAATAGCTTTTTTGTAAGGCAGGGAATAAAAGATAATGGAAATTCCAGAGACAGTTTTCAGGCAGAGACTGTTCTTCATTTTCTACTCAAGATATTATTAAGCAATAATTAGATGTTACACACATAGTTTCTCAGCCTTCTCTTAGGACATGTCTTGGCTCAAACTGTTGAGAATACTGGGAAGCACTGAAAGCAGCCCCACCTCCCATCTAACATGGAGTAGACAAAAACACATGCATTCATAGTCAACTCTGTGGATACTGTAGCCACACTCTCCCCATGAGATTATCTGTTTCTTTTGTTAGCAAAAACAAATAAAAACAAAATAGTTGACAATCATGTTGTTGAATTATATAATTTTTCTTTCTCAACTTTGACATTGAAAGGCAAGTTTCTCCTGTTCTCTAATGAAAATACAACAAAGGAGCGAGCATGCAAAAATTATCTTCACATAATATAAAATATAAAGGCTGCAGAAAATTTTTTTCTGTCGTTCTTTTTCCCTACAAAGTTAAAACTTAAATAAATTATCTGGTAGGTCTAGAACAGCCTAGGCTTTGCTGTAACATTAAATTCTGTGTAGTCAGAGTTAAACAGTAAGTAATAATGTTCTACCAACTTAATATCTACTTTTTTTTCTAATATGTACAACAACCATAAGAGATAGGTTCTGTTACTAACACCATTTGACATATGTAGAAACTGGGATACTGAGAGTGAGGTAAACTTATCTGCAGTTGTACAGCTAGAAGTAGGTATACCTAAACACAAATTTAAATAGTCTGTCCTTAGTTTACACATTTTTAACCACCACACTATACTGCATTGTCATTTAACAAGTGAACAGGCTTTGACCTGCCATCAACAGGTGTCTCCCTTGCCTGCCATATGTCTTAATTGGTCTATCTTTGCAGAATTATGGGCTATGTTGATTCAAAGTGCCAGGCATGGTACTAACATCTGAATCTCCAGGAAAGTGGGTTCAATGTCAATGAAAATTTTCAGAAACCAATCTGTAGGGGCTATTTTTCTTTTACCTGATATTTAGGAGATCCCAAAGAAAGGTATATTCTAAGCAACACAGTCATTTTTCCTTTTTTCTTAAATAAAAAATAAAAGGCATCACATAGTATGCTAAATGCAACACTTTTCATGGTTTAATTATTGTATATCTAATTAAATATGGTAAGCCTCATTTTAGATGAAAAATGGGTTTTGACAGACTAAATAAGTTATTGAAGGTCAAGCATCTAGTAAGTGTTAGAATTCAGAATCAAAACAAGTTTTGTCTGATGCCAAAGTCTGCATCACTAATCACTAATCTGTAAAGATTTAACAACATAAGGTGATTCGCTTTTCAGCCAACTATGACTGACCCTATATGGGGATAATTCTAGGAGAAACTTAGGAGATGGGGAAGGGCACTAAATGGCTGAATCTGGCATCGATTGCTGCTTTTTTCCTACCTCAAAGAATAATCTCTAAAGTAACTATGAATTGCCTATTGTGTGAATGAATCCTGTATGACTAATATTTGTAAGTGCTAGCTTAAATACCTGTTGCAGAACTTTTGCTACCTGAAAATCAAAAACAAATACCTGAAAAGCATATAATTCATATTTGAGAATATTCTGCTGAAAAGGTTCTTATGAACATGGTGTGAGGTGATATGCCATATCTTTCTACCTTCCATATGTTCTCCATTATCACTCAGGATCCTGGAGGTCTGTTGTAAATATTAAATGAAAAAAAAATTTATTTGGCTTCAAGTACTGAATCCAAGAAGGTTTTTATTTTAGGTTGCCTTATTTATTTCATTATTTCTGATGTATATCAATAAAGTTTCTGAAATAGTATTATATGCTTAAATAATATAATAGGGGTAAGAAAACAAAGACTTTAAAGAATCCTAATGACTCATGGACTTAAAATAAAAAGATTGTATTCCTTTTTAACATAAAATAGAAGGATTTGATCCTAGTAAAGTTTTGTCTTTCAGATAGCTAAGATAGTTGACAACTTTTTTTTTTTTTTTTTGAGATGGAGTCTCACTTTGTCACCCAGGCTGGAGTGCAGTGGCGAGATCTCGGCTCACTGCAAGCTCCGCCTCCTGGGTTCACACCATTCTCCTGCCTCAGCCTCCTGAGTAGCTGGGACTGCAGGTGCCCGCCCAGCTAATTTTTTGTATTTTTAGCAGAGACGGAGTTTCACCGTGTTAGCCAGGATGGTCTCGATCTCCTGACCTCGTAATCTGCCCGCCTCGGCCTCCCAAAGTGCTGGGATTACAGGCAGATAGTTGACAACTTTTTGAAAACGTTTTCTTTAGCTTTCCATAACATTAGTATAAAGCTTTTTTATTTTCAATTTATTGAAATCTATGTTCTAAATATTCAAGATCTAAAGTGATAACAAATTTTGGGGGATAAATAAAATGAGCGATCTACAGAGCAACCTAGCACACCAACAAGCATAAGCAACAGAGTCTCAAGAAAAGCCTGCTCCTTCTAGCCAAATGACCAGAACGGGGCAGCCTAACAATACAGAAAATTTTTAGACAGTAAACACTCTATTCACACCAAACACCACAGGAAAACCTGAATTCCAATGCATCCCCACAAACACAGACTAATTGGTGAGCCTAGACTTTTACTTGCACACAACCATAACTAAGTGTCCCTTCAATCCCCACCAGAGTGGTGGCCAAGGGGAGAGCAGAAACTTTTATTTCCACCCCTGGTAACAAGCCCTTTTCCAGTTGTGGCATCAGTAGAGACCACAGTAGGGTAAAGGATGATTCTGTAATTCCACTCTCACCCATCCATAATGAAGTGCCCTGCCAATGGGGTTGGTATCAGAGGAGGCATAGTAGAGAATCAGAAATTTCACCATCTCCCAGGTATGATAAAGCTAACCTCCCCATACCCTCAACCCACAAGTGTCAGTGGAAGCTAGTAAGAAGCAGTAATAAAGCACTTCTGCCCTTCCCAGCCAGCATGGTATCAGTGAAGACTTAATGGAGAGCCAGAACTTCCAACTCTGCCTAACAATAATGAGAAATCCCTCCCCAACTGAGGTGTCACAAGAGGTTGAAGAGGGACCCTGGACTCTACTACCATTTGTCAGTAATGACGTAACGCCTTCCTTTAGAGGACGCCAACAAAAACAAAAGATTTAACTAAGATCCATGGTCTCATAATGAAATACCCAAAATGCGCCGGTACGGTAAAAAAATCACTTTGATGTCATAACAAGAACCAGACAAATTGCAGCTTAAATAAGAAAATATAGTCAATAATTCACCAGATGACATAGATGCTGAAAATCTCTGACAAGGATTTTAAAGCAGCCGTTATAAAAATATTGTATTAAGTAATTTACAAGCATGCTTGAAACAAATGACAAAGTATATCTTTTGCAAGAAAAAAATAAAATAGGAGACATGAAGAACCAATGACCAAATTAAAAAATAATAATAATCTCACTGGATAGGCTCAATAGCAGAATGGAGAAGACAGAGGAAAGATTCAATGAACTTAATGTAAAACAATAGAAATTGCTCAATCTGAAGGACAGAGAGAAATAGACCTTAAAAAAAACAAAATAATCAGATACCCAGAAACCTATAGATCCATAAGAAATATCAAATATATGTATTATAAGGGTACCAAAAGTAGAGGAGAAAAAGGGTGTGACTAACAGGTATTTGAAGAAACACTGGATATCCATTGGCAAAAACATGACTCTTCACCTAAATGACAACCTTATACCAAAATAAACTCTAAATGGATTATTGATTTAAATAGAAATTATAAAACTACAAACTTTTAGAATATAATGTAGGAGAAAATCTGTATGACCTTTAGCAGGGAGTTTTTAGACATGTTATCAATAGCAAAATTTATTTTTTAAAAAATCAGTTGATTAGATTTCATCAAAGCTAAAAGTTTGTCTCAGGAAAGACACTGTTAAGAGTATGAAAACACAAACTAAAGACTAAGAGAAAATATCTCACGAGACCTATATCTAGAGCATGTAAAGAACTCTAACAAAACTTGAAGATTAAGAAAAAATAAAATTTTAAAATAGACAAAAGACACGATGAGATATTTCTTCAAAGAAGGTATACAGATGTCAAATAAGCACATGAAAAGATATTCATCACTAGCCATTAGGGAAATACAAATTAAAACCAAAATGAATTATCATTATGCATTTATTAGAACATTTAAAATTTATTTAAAAAAACAGTGACAATACCAAATTTTGGCGAGTATGTGAAGATATTAGATCTCTTTTTTTTTTTTTTTTTTTTTGAGATGGAGTCTCACTCTGTCACCCAGGCTGGAGTGCAGTGGCGCAATCTCGGCTCACTGCAAGCTCCGCCTCCCGGGTTCACGCCATTCTCCTGCCTCAGCCTCTCGAGTAGCTGGGACTACAGGCGCCCGCCATCACGCCTGGCTAATTTTTTATATTTTTAGTAGAGAAAGGGTTTCACCGTGTTAGCCAGGATGGTCTCGATCTCCTGACTTGGTGATCCGCCTGCCTCGGCCTCCCAAAGTGCTGGGATTACAGATGTGAGCCACCACGCCCGGCCGACACTAGAACTCTTATACATCGCTGGTGGGAAGGTAAAATGATAAACTACTCAAAAAAATAGGTTAGCAGTTTCTTCAAAACTAAACATATACTTAATATCTAACCTAGCAACTGCACAACTGGGCATTTATCCCAGAGAAATTAAAACATATGTCCACACAAAAATCTGTACACAAATGTTCGTATCAGCTTTATTTGTAAATAGTAAAAACCTAGAAACAACCAAAATGCCCTTTGACAGGTGAATGGCTAAACAAACTTCAGTATATTCATATCATAAAATCCTACTCAGCAATAAAAATGACACAATTTACAACATGGATGTACCTTGAGGGAATTATGCTAAGTGAAATAAGTCAGTCACAAAAATACAAATACTGTGTAATGCCACTTACTTGGGGTATTTATAGTAGTCAAATTTATAGAAACACAAAGTAGAATGGTGGTTACCAGAGGCTGGTGGCAGAGAGCGGGAGAGGGGAGTTTTGTTTAATGGGTATAGAATTTTAGATTTGCGGCCGGGTGCGGTGGCTCACGCCTGTAATCCCAGCACTTTGGGAGGCAGAGGCGGGCGGATCATGAGGTCGGGAGATAGAGACCACCCTGTCTAATACAGTGAAACCCCATCACTACTAGAAATACAAAAAATTAGCCGGGCGTGGTGGCACGTGCCTGTAGTCCCAGCTACTTGGGAGAATGAGGCAGGAGAATTGCTTGAACCCACGAGGCGGAGGTTGCAGTGAGCCGAGATCGCGCCACTGCACTCCAGCCTGAGTGATAGAGCGAGACTGCATCTCGAAAAATAATAATAAAATAAATAAAAATAAAAAATAGATTTGCAAGATGAAAAAGTTTAGAGATCTCTTTCACAGCAATGTTAACATTTGTAACACTACTGAACTGTACACTTAAAAATGTATACTTAAAAAAGTTGAAAGGAGGATTCAACATACACAAATCAGTAAACAAAATAAATCGTATCAAGAGAATCAAGGACAAAAACCATATGATCAATAGATGCTGAAAAGTGTTCAATAAAATTCAACATCCTATTCACAATAAAAACTCTCAACAGATTGGGTATAGAAGGAACATACCACAACACGATAAAGGCTACATATGACAAGCCCACAATTAATATCATGTTGCATAAGGAAAAATTGAAAACCTTTCTGCTAAGATCTGAAACAAGACAAGTATGCCCATTTTTACCACTTATTCAACATAGTTCTGAAAGTCCTAGCCAGAGCAATTAGGCAAGAGAAAGAAAGAAGGGGCATCTAACTTGAAAAGGTAGAAGTCAAATTATTCTTGCTTGTAGACTGTATGATTTTGTATTTAGAAAAGCCTAAAGACCCCACCAAAAAAAACCTCTTAGAACAGAAGCAAACATTTAATAAAGTTGTAGGATACAAAATCAACATATAAAAATCAGTAGCATTTCTATACATTAACTGCAATCTATCTGAAAAAGAAATCAAGAATGCAATACCATTTATAGTAGCTACAAAAGTAAAATAAAATACCTAAAAATAAATTTTACCAAAGAAGTGAAAGATCTCCACAAGGAAAATCATTGATGAAATAAATTAAAGAAGATACAAAAATGGGAAGAAATTTCATGATCATGGATTGCAAGAATTAATATTCTTAAAATGTAGGCCAGGCACAGTGGCTTATGCCTGTAACCCCAGCACTTTGGGAGGCCAAGGCGGGCAGATCACCTGAGGTCCGGAGTTCGAGACCAGCCTGACCAACATGGAGAAACCCTCTCTCTACTAAAAATACAGAATTGGCCGGGCATGGGGGTGCATGCCTGTAATCCCAGCTACTCGGGAGGCTGAGGCAAGAGAATCGCTTGAACCCAGGAGGTGGATGTTGCGGTGAGCCGAGATTGCACCACTGCACTCCAGCCTGGGCAACAAGAGCGAAACTCTGTCTTAAAAAAAAAAAAAAAAAAGTCTATACTACTCATTCAATGCCATCCCTATCAAAATACCAATGACATTCTTCACAGAGATAAAATACAATTTTAAATTTATACGGAACCCACAAAAAACTTCAAATAGCTAAAGCAATTTTGAGCAAAAAAACCAAGGCTGAAGGCATCCCACTACCTGACTTCAAAATGTACTTCAAAGCTAAAGTAACAGAAACAGCTTGGTACTGGCATGAAAACAGAAACAGACCAATGGAACACAACAGAGAACCCAGAAATAAATCCTATAACCCAGAAATTAATAAATATAACTAGAGCTCCATCTTTCACCACAAACAAAATCGAAAAATGGATTAGATTTAAATGTAAGTCTTTAATGTAAAGGAAACTTTGAAACTACTAGAAGTAAAACACTGAAGAAGTGCTACAAAAGACCCATGCATAGGTATGTTTATTGCAGCACTATTCACAATAGCAAAGACTTGGAACCAACCCAAATGTCCATCAATGATAGACTGCATAAAGAAAATGTGGCACATATACACCATGGAATACTATGCAGCCATAAAAAAGGATGCGTTCATGTCCTTTGCATGGACATGGATGAAGCTGGAAACAATCATTCTCAGCAAACTAACACAGGAACAGAAAAGAAAACACCTCATGTTCTCACTCATAAGTGGGAGTTGAACAAAGAGAACACATGGATACAGAGAGGAAAACATCACACACTGTGGCCTGCCAGCGGGTGAGGGGCTAGGGGAGGGATAGCATCAGGAGAAATACCTAATGTAGATGATGGGTTGATGGGTGCAGCAAACTACCATGGCACATGTATACCTATGTAACAAAACTGCACATTCTGCACATGTATCCCAGAACTTAAAGCATAATAATAATAATAATAAATTTTAAAAATCATTGATCAGGGCAAAGATTTTTTTGTATAAAACCTTGAAAGCACAGGAAACAAGAGCAAAACAGACAAACGGGATTACGACAAGCAAAAAAGCTTCTGCGCGGAAAAGGAAATAATTAACAAAGTAAAGAGACAATGTACAGAATGGGAGAAAATACTTGAAGCTATCCATCTGACAAAGAATAAATAATCAGAATACATAAGGAATTCAAACAACTCAATAGCAAAAAATAAGCAATAAGCCAACTAAAAATGTGCAAAATAAACATTTTGAATGCCTGAATAGACATTTCTCAAAAGAATACACACAAATGGTAAACAGGTATATTAAAAAAAAGTTCAACATCACTAATCATCAAGGAAAGACAAATCCAAACCACAATGAGAGGTCATACCACCCTACTTAGGACGGCTAATATCAAAAAGATAAAATATAACAAATGCTGTCAAGGAAGGTGAGAAAGGGGAATTTTATATACTGTTGATGAGAATGTAAAGTAGTACAGCCATTATGAAAAACAATATGAAGTTTCCTCAAAAAACTAAAAATAGAACTACCAGATAGAGCAATACCACTGCTGGGTATATGTCCAGCAAAAAAGGAAATCAGTATATTGAAGAGATATCTGCATTCCTATGTTTATTGCAGCACTATTCACAATAGCCAAGATATAAAATCAACCTGGTGTCCATCAACAGATGAATGGATTAAGAAAATAGGGTATATATACACAATGGAATATTATTCAACCATAAAAAAGAATGAAACCCTGTCATTTGCAGCAACATGAATGAAATTAGAAGTCATTATGTTAAGTGAAATAACCCAGGCACAGAAATACAAATTTCACATGTTCTCACTCATATGTGGTAGCTGAAAAAGTGAAGCTCATGGAGATATAGAGTGGTGGTTATTGGAGGCTAGGAAGAGAATTGGGGAGGAAGGGATGAAAGAAATTATGTTGTTTTGTTTTTTCTTGAGACAGAGTCTCACTCCGTCACCCAGGCTGGAGTGCTGTGGCGCTATCTCAGCTCACTACAGCCTCCGCCTCCCAGGTTCAAGCAATTCCTATGCTTCAGCCTCCTGAGTAGCTGGGACTATAGGCGCATGCCACCATGCACAGCTAAGTTTTGTATTTTTAGTAGAGACAGGGTTTCACCATGTTGCCCAGGCTGGTCTCGAACTCCTGACCTCAGGTGATCTGCCTGCCTCGGCCTCCCAAAGTGCTGGGATTACAGGTGTGAGCCACCATGCCCGGCCAAAGAAGTTGTTTAATGAGTACACAAATACAGTTAGAAGGAACACATTCTAGTATTTGATAGGACAGTAGAAAAATTATAATTAACAATAATTTATGATATATTTCAAAATAGCTGGAAGAATTGTAACATTCTCAATATATAAAAAAAGATATATGTTTGGGGTGATGGATATCCCAATTGTCCTGATTTGATCATTACACTTTATATACATCTATCAAAATATTACATGTACCCTCAAAATATGTAAAACTGATATATCAATTTAAAAATACAAAAATAAGGTTAAGATGGTACATTTTATTGTGTGTTTTCACCACAGTTAAAAAAAAAGTCATGGTAGGAGGAGTGTGTGGGAGGCAAGAACTACTGATATGTGCAGCAAATTGAATAGATCTCAATGGCATTATGCTGAGTGAAGAAGCCATCCTTAAATAGTCACATATTGTATGATTCTACTTATATAACATTTTCACAATTTAAAAATTGTAAAAGTGGAAAAGAGATCAGTACTTGCTAGGGATTAGGAATTGTGTGTGGGAATGAATTATAACTATAAAGGGGTAACATGAGGGACATCTTTGTCATGATTGAATAGTTCTGTATCTTGATTGCATTGGTTGTTCTGTGACTTTCTATACATGTGATAAATGGCATATAACTACACACACACACAGTCCCAACATCACTTTCCTAGATTTGATATTGTGCTATACTATGTATTATATTGTACTAAACTATGTATTAGTTTTCTATTGCTTTGGCAAGAAATTCCATAGATTTACTGGTCTTAACCAACGCAAATGCATTATCTCAGAATTGTGTAGGTCAGAAGTCTGGGCATAAAGTGGCTCAATTGACTATTTGCTTCTGGTTTCACAGAGCCAAAATTTAGATGTCAGCAGGGTTGCATTTCTTTCAGGAGGTTCTGGGGTTGAATCTGCTTCCAAGCTTATGTGGGTTTTTGGTAGAATCCAGTTCCATGTGGTTGTAGGACTAACGTCTCTGTTTCTTTGCTGGTTGTTGGCCAGGCTCATTCTTAGTTTCAGAAGGTTGCTTGCATTTCTTGGCTCACGACCTCCTTTCTCTATCTTAGCTAGCAATAGCAAGTCAAGTCCTTTTCATATTTAAACCTCTTAGACCTCTCCCTCTGCTTCATCTGTCCTCTGATTTTCTCTTCTACCACATCTCTCTGACTCAAATTGGAGAAATCTCTCTGCTTTCAAGAGCTCGAGTGATTAGATTATGTCCACCTGGACAATCCAGGATTTTTTTTTCTATTTTAAGGTCCATAACCTTTATGACATTTGCATAGTTGTTTTACAGCAGTAACTAGTGTTTGACTGAATAATCAGGGGATGGGAATCCTGTGGAGACTTAGAATTCTGCCTATCACAATTGTGCAAAATATAACCATTGGAGGAAATTGAGTAAAGGTTACATGAAACCCCTCCATATCACTTTTGCAACTTCTTGTAAATGTGTAATTATTTCAAAATAACAAGCTTTTAAAAATGCATGGAAGAAAAAAATAAAAACAATATAAACAAATATATTTTCTATCAAGATTATTTTGCACTACTGGAAGACCTACAATGAAAGAAAGGCTAAGAAATGTCCTCCAAATAAAGGAAAAATTATTTCAGTGGACACATGGAATTGTAGGAAACAAAGAACAGTCAAAGGGGTAAATATATGAAGAAAATCTAAGTTAATATTACTGTTATAATTAAAATAATATATTGGGCTTAAAAACATATAGAATTGAAATGCATATCAAAGATAGCATAAGAAGGAGGAAGGAATTAAATGGAGTTCAAGTGTTTTAATGTCTTTGCACTGTCAGGAAGTTTTAAAAGTATTAAATTACAGGTGACCCTAATAAAGCCTAAGGATGTATATTATTTCCAGTGCAGCTACTAAAGAAACAATGAAAAAAGATGTAATTAACAAGTCAACGGAAAAAGAAAATACTGCATTTACTGAAAAGATAAATAGAAAAGACTAAATATCAGATGGGACAAAGAGAAAACTCAAATATACCAACAAATGTATTAAATGTAAACAGAACAATATTCTAATTGAAAGATGAGGACTATAAGAATGAATAAGAGAAAACTATATGCTGCTTAGAGGAGATACATTTAAATATAAGAAATCAAATTGAAAATAAAAGAATGGGCCAGGTGTGGTGGCTCACACCTGTAATCCCAGCACTTTGGGAGGCCAAGGGAGGAGGATCACTTGAGGTCAGGAGTTCAGTACCAGCCTGGTCAACATAGAGAAATCCCATCTCTACTAAAAATACAATAATTAGTCAGGCACAGTGGCAGGTGCCTGTAATCCCAGCTACTCAGAAGACTGAGGCAGGAAAATCGCTTTGCTTGAACTGGGGAGGCAGAGGTTGCCATGAGCCAAGATCATGCCACTGCACTTCAGCCTGGGTAAAAAACTGAGACTGTCTCAAAAAAAAAAAAAAAAAAAAAAAAAAGTAAAGGAATGGAAATGGAAAAAAATAGATAAAATTACCTTCTCACAAAATGAGAAACCCTAATATAGCTATGTTAAAATCATTTTTTTAAAAGGAGGTTATACTGCTTTGGATCCTGGGTCAGAGGAAAAAAAAAGAAGAAGAAAAAGAGGTTTAAAAAGGCGATAAACAGTAACATTTCATTTTATGGTGATGAAAGTCCCAACATTCTCAGAAGACATCTTTGTTTTTTTTAGGTTTTGAATTTTTTTTCTATTTCTTTATATATATATATAATTTAAGTTCTGGAATACATGTGCAGAAAGTGCAGGTTTGCTACAGAGGTATACACGTGCCATGGTGGTTTGCTGCACCCATCAACCCATCACTTACATTAGGTATTTCTCCTAATACTATCCCTCCCCTAGCGCCCCACTGCCTGACAGGCCCCAATGTGTGATGTTCTCCTCCCTGTGTCCATGTGTTCTCTTTGTTCAACTCCCACTATGAGTGAGAACATGTGGTGTTTGGTTTTCTGTTCCTGTGTTAGTTTGCTGAGAATGATTGTTTCCAGCTTCATCCATGTCCCTGCAAAGGACATGAACTCATCCTTTTTCATGGCTGCATAGTATTTCATGGTGTATATGTGCCACAGTTTATTTATCCAGTCTATCATTGATGGGCATTTGGGTTGGTTCCAAGTCTTTGCTATTGGGAACAGTGTGACAATAAACATATATGTGTATGTGTCTTTACAGTAGAATGATTTACCATCCTTTGGGTATATACCCAGTAATGGGATTACGGGGTCAAATGGTATTTCTGGTTCTAGATCCTTGAGGAATCGTCACACTGTTTTCCACAATGGTTGAACTTATTTACACTCCCACCAACAGTGTAAAAGCATTCCTATTTCTGCACATCCTCTCCAGCATCTGTTGTTTCCTGACTTTTTAATGATCCCCATTCTAACTGGCATGAGATGGTATCTCATTGTGATTTTGATTTGCATTTCTCTAACGACCAGTGATGATGAGCTTTTTTTCATATGTTTGTTGGCTGCATAAATGTCTTCTTTTGAGAAGTGTCTGTTCATATACTTCGCCCACTTTTTCATGGGGTTTTTTTCTTGCAAATTTGTTTAAGTTCCTTGTAGATTCTGGATATTAGCTTTTTGTCAGATGGAGAGATTGCAAACATTTTCTCCCATTCCGTAGGTTGCCTGTTCACTCTAATGATAGTTTCTTTTGCTATGCAGAAGCTCTTTAGTTTAATTAGATCCCATTTGTCAATTATGGTTTTGTTGCCATTGCTTTTGGTGTTTTAGTCATGAAGTCTTTGCCCATGCCTATGTCCTGAATTGTATTGCCTAGGTTTTCTTCTAGGGTTTTTATGGTTTTAGGTCTTATGTTTAAGTCTTTAATCCATCTTGAGTTAATTTTTGTATAAGGTATAAGGAAGGGGTCCAGTTTTAGTTTTCTGCATATGGCTAGCCAGTTTTCCCAACACCATTTATTAAATAAGGAATCCTTTCCCCATTGCTTGTTTTTGTCAGGTTTATCAAAGATCAGATGGTTGTAGATATGTGGCATTATTTCTGAGGCCTCTGTGCTGTTCCATTGGTCTATATATCTGTTTTGGTGCCAGTACCATGCTGTTTGGATTACTATAGCCTTGTATTATAGTTTGAAGTCAGGTAGCATGATGCCTCCAGCTTTGTTTGTTGTTGTTGTTGTTGTTGTTGTTGTTGTTGTTTTGCTTAGGATTGTCTTGGCTATATGGGCTCTTTTTTCCTTCCATATAAAATTTAAAGTAGTTTTTTCTAATTCTGTGAAGAAAGTCACTGGTAGCTTGATGAGAATAGCACTGAACCTATAAATTACTTTGGGCAGTATGGCCATTTTCACAATATTGATTCTTCCTATCCATGAGCATGGAATGTTTTTCCATTTGTTTGTGTCCTCTCTTATTTCCTTGAGCAGTGGTTTGTAGTTCTCCTTGAAGAGGTCAATAATTCTCAATGCAATAATTCACAATATGCACTAATAGCACAATACCAAAATGTATTATGTAAAAATGGACAAAATTAGCAGGAAAATTTGACATAGCCACACTATCATTCAATACTTTAGTAATTGTTGATAACATAGTAACTGACTTAAAAAGCCTATAATAAATCAAAAAGGATGTAAAATATTTGAATGAGATGATTAACAAAATCAATCTAATTTACATATGTACATATATATATAAAACAGTAAACACATTTGAAAATATGCAGGTTATGCACCTCAGACCTTCACAAAAATGGAAATATGTGCATATAGACCATACTGCTGTTCTTAAGAAACCATATAAATAATGTTCCCTTACCACAGAGGAATTAAAGCTGAGATCAATAAAAATGGTAACTAGAAAATAGCCAAATATGTGCAAACTAAGCAACACATTTCTAAAGAACCCATGGGTCAAAGAAAAAAACTAAAGTGGAAATTAAAAAATATTTTTGAAGTAAAAATAACTAAAATATAGCATATCAAAATTTGCAGGGTATAGTAAAATCTTGTGCTTAAAGAAAAATTTATAGCTTTATATACATAGATTAGGAAAAAATGTAGGGCTAAAGATTCAATTACATTTCTCAAGAAGTTAGAAATAGCTGAGCAAATGTTATCCTGTTCTTTTACAAGTATTTCAAATCCTTGAGTTTTGAAAGAGCAGCCTTCTAAATTCACCTATGCTTTCAAAAGATGTTGTTGTTGTTGAGTTTAGAATGATGGGTTTTTCCTGTAGGAATTCACCATTAGTCAGTTTATTGGGTTTAATCAAAACATCCAATTTATATTTGAAATTTTTGCTGCATATTGTAAAACCGTTGTAGTATATGTGTCTTCAAGGAGCTTTAATGTGGATAATTTTTGTAGGTTGAAATGCTATCATAAATATTAATAAATGCTTTTAAAGCTCTGAGAAATCTGCCGATAAAAAGAGCAATATAAATGTAAGTTTGGTTTTTCTAACCATTTGCAATATTCAGAATAAAAGAGAAGAGAAAAACTGAAATATGAACTGAACAACAAAATTGGAGTGTTTACTTCTCTATTTTTAAAACAACTTGGACTCAGAGGAATAAAAGATAAGGGTTGGTGTAAAATTGGTTTCTCAATTCATGTATGAGAGTTCTAAAAATAAGCTAACTGGCTGAAGAGAAACATCAGAAGCTCTTAAAACAAGCAACTAATATTCCTCAAACTTGATTATAATGAGAAAGTAGATATCAAATATGGTCCAAACTCTGGTGACTGCATTGCTTATTGTTCATTCACCAATTAATTCATTGAACCATTTATTAATCCAACAGATCTCCATTCAGTGTCTATTCTTTGTCAGGCATTGTGCTATTGCTGAGATGCAACCATGAGCAAACCAAACATTTTGTTTCCTCCTGGTGTTTATAGTCCAGTAGAAGACAGCATTTAAATAGTCATATAAATAGATAGGTAAGCACAAACTGAGATTCAGTCTTAAAAGACAGACATGTAGGCCAGGTGTGGTGGCTCATGCCTGTAATCCCAGCACTTTGGGAGGCCCAGGTGAGTGGATCACCTGAGGTTGGGAGTTCAAGACCAGCCTGACCAATATGGAGAAACCCCGTCTCTCCTAAAAATACAAAAAATTAACCGAGCGTGGTGGCACATGCCTGTAATCTCAGCTACTCGGGAGGCTGAGGCAGGAGAATTGCTTGAACCTGGGAAGGGAGGTTGCAGTGAGCGCAGATCGTGCCATTGCACTCCAGCCTGGGTAACAAGAGTGAAACTCCATCTCAAAAAAAAAAAAAAAAAAAAAAAAACTGATGTGTAGGTGTTTTGTGATCAAAAAATTGGGGATTTACTCTAGGGAGTCAGGGAAAGCTTCCCCTAGCATGTCTTATGTGTGCCATGAGCTGCAGTTCATGATAAAGACTGACCAATTAGGTGAAGGCGAGAACTGGAGGGGAAGAACCTTCTAGCACAAGTTAAGGCTTTCCAGTAGGTGTGGGAGGGATCATTCGGGGACAGAATCAAAGCCAATGTGGCTGAACAAGGAGTTGGAGTGGGGAGTGTGCAGAGAGTGAGATGAAGTTTAAAGGTCAGCAGAAACCAGATCACAAGCATCAAATGCCTCATGGGCCATGTTAACAGTTTTGAATTCCTCCCTGGGAAAGGGCTGTAGCAGGGAAGTGACATGGCTAATTCAGCATTTTTAAGAATATCACTTTGCCTGTCGTGGGCCATGCAAACTGGATTCAGGAGACAAGTTATGATCTTGTTGTATCAGCATAAGTGAGAAGATGGGAGCTTGGAACAAGGTTCAGAGGACAACGCTGCCTCCTGGAAGCCAAAACTCTTTCCAATGTGAGTATACTTCTCTTTTCCAAATCTACTTTCAGTGATTACCACTCTGATAGGCAAATATTCTCACTATCATCTACCCAAATTATTCCTGGTCTTCCTTCTACCTTTGTTCCAATTGCTCCTTTCTTCACAAATGTCATCTTCTTCATTTACTTATACCACAACCATTTTATACATCCAAGCTCAAGTTCCATCTCCCCACTTCTTTAGATAATTCCCACCCACAGACACATAGTTCTTTCTCTACATTGACCATATGCTAGTACTTCCTTTTCCTCTTCCTGATGAAATTATAAGCTACTTAGGGAAGGAAATGTGTCTTACATTTCTCTGAATTCCCCTGTAAGACCAAGAACAAGGCTGGGATTAAGTGCAAAACACCCTTTAAACCTAATCAAATTTCACTGCAATGAAAAATGTCTAGTATATGGATGATAATTTGGAAAAATACTATGTTCCAAGTTGTACTAAAAACAAAAAGGCACTATATGAACATGAGGGTATTATAGAAGAATATTTTATAACAGGTAAAAATCCAAGGCATGTGCAGCTGGCTCCCTTAATTTCCAGATTACTCTATGAGCTTGCCTTTTAGTAAACATGTCCTTTCTGCCTTTTGTATATTCCTGCTCATACCAAAATGCAACAGCAGCACCCATGAACTTGGTCCTCAGTGGGACTTCCATTAGAACATCTTCAAAAGCAGGAGGAAAGCAGGTCTTGTTCTACACATGCCAGAGTATATTCCCACTGTGGCCCTACTACCACTGTTTTTCATCTGTTGGTCTTATAAAACTCTGACAGCAGAGTAAGAAAGGGTTTGAGAAGCAGGTCTTATGAGGACATACATTACCAAGAATGTACCTCCATATTCACTCTGTATATTAGCCCCACAAATCTTCAATAAAGCAACAACATGCTTGATATGCTTGAATTTTTTTGTGGAAGCTGGTGAAGAGGCTAAATTTTGTGGGACCTTAAAAAAGGGTCAGACCACATGTGCCCAAGATATAGTTCCAGGCTTCCCTGATACCAGCTAATGTACACTGAGCATGTCAGGCAAAAGGCAAAGTTATTTCAACCTGTTAGCTCTCCTAATCTTTATAACAACCCTGTGAATTAACTTGAATTGCTACAAATAACATGCCTGAGGCTCAGAGAATGGAGGTAACTCATTCAGCTCCAAAAAACCTAATAATGGGGCCAGGACTCTGACCAAGGTTTGTCTGATTACTGAATTGGAACCTGAATTTCAATTTTAGAGCTCCCCAACCAGTTACCATGCATTGACTATCCATGTACTAGGAGCATCTAAGCAGGGCCTTGGATGGCTGAGCTCCTCTGATATTTCCAAACCAGGCTTTGCTTACAGTGTAAACATTCTCTTTTTTCTTGTTAGTGTCACCAACCTGAGGCTTCTCTGTTGTAACTCAGTTGTCTCAGGAACTTCCATGGTTACTCAGTGTTCTCCCAGGTAAGTAGAAATTCTCCAGCCTGGCATTCAATAACCTCAACAACGTTAGGGAGGTGGAAGAGCATTGGATTTCAAAATCAGGTTTCTGCATCTCAGAGATCAGAGTTGGATTCTGGTTTCCCCACCTGACAGATGTGTGATGTTGAGCTACTTAGTTAACCTTTCAGTGCCACTGATTTATAGTTTTATATAACTCCTAGGCATTTCCTGATTATTAAATGAGAGAGAACATACGCAAGCATTTTACACAATTCCTGGCATAGAATAAAATGCCAAAAACTTTGCTGCCTCTGCTATTATTTTGTCCTATAGACCCACACCTCTTTAAACAAAGCTGGGCAGTTTGCTGGTTATTTATCATGGCTTGTGCTTCTTCATTGTCATAGATTGTATTTGAGGGCAAGTAGTTTATTTGGGAAGTGATCCCAGGAAGCATCCATCAGGAGAACAGAGAAATAAGGCAGAAAAGGGAAGAGAACCAATATAAAGTTAATGAATATTAGCCAGTCTTGGTAACTGAGGTGCAGCCCCACTGAGTGTCTTCAGGACATTGGAATAAACCACACCTTAGAACTGTCCCACCTGCGGGACAAGGAAGCCACTGTTTGTCACTGATTGGGATTGCATTCAGGGGCATCAACTCCCTGATGCCAACAATCTCACCCTGTATGCCCACTGAGCATGCCTCCATAGCCAGAAAAGGCTATCTGGTAGAGTTGCCAAGCTTGCAGCAAGAAGCAACAGGTCCATAGGACAGTAGGAAAACCTTCAGTATCTCCACACCCACTTCTATGCCTTTGTTTTTGCGCTTATTTCTACTTGCAATTCCCTCTTTTCCATCTTTTAAAAAGGCTACTCAAGCCAGGCACAGTGGCTCATGCCTATAATCCCAGCACTTTGGGAGGCCAAGGCGGGCGGATCACCTGAGGTCAGGAGTTCAAGACCAGCCTGGCCAATATGGTGAAACCCCATCTCTACTAAAAATATAACAATTAGCTGGGCGTGGTGGTAGATGCCCATAATCCCAGCTACTCGAGAGGCTGAGGCAGGAGAATTGCTTGAACCTGGGAGGCGGAGGTTGCAGTGAGCTAAGAGCGCCACTGCACTCCAGCCTGGGCAACAAAATGAGACTCCATTCCAAAAAAAAAAAAAAAAGCTTACATAGACATTCTCCCCTCTCTATGAAGACTTTTCTTATCACCCTACAGTGTGGTCTTTTTCATGTTGGAAGTTCTGTGGCTCTTTTTGTATCACACGTTGTAGTCTTTCTTGGATTATGTTTACTTATATGTTGATTTCAACAACTGACTCTTGAGATGAGGGGTCCTCACTTCCCTTTGTTTTCCAGAGCCAAACACAGTACTTTGCCCATAGTAAGTGCTCAATAAATACTTGTTAAACTGTGTTTCACACTGAAAATGATTAAACATAAAATGTACTTATCTTCTCCACTATGCAAGTTTTATACTTTCACCTCCTGGGAAATGTTTGCTGGGACATCTCTTCACCTTCTTTAATAAATTTTGATCTTACATCACATTTAAATGCCTTGGAGTTCCAAAAGACAAATATATCCTCGTGTAATTTAATGGCAATCAGCAGGCTACCTTTTTTCTTATTAATATACAGAAAGCTGGTGGTCACAGCAGGTAACTGATGAGACTAATCTGTCAATGTTCTAATAATTCTCTGCCTGATTGCACCCAGCCCAAGAGCCTGAATAATCACAGAAGCGGCAAGTGATTTGATCAGGACTAGAATAGACCATCGATCATCCTCAAGTGAACTGGGTGTTTGTATAGGATGGGGTTAGCATGATATCTCAAGGAAGCCCTTCAGGCAGAAATCAATGTTGAGAATTCAAAGTGTTATAGGAGAGGCCACAGGAAGCTTCTATGAGATGCAATCCTAGGAGTACTTGGTGTAGCAGAAAGAGAATTGAAGCAATGAGTTATCACACTGTTAATTGGGATGCTAGCCAAAAGCATTCAAAAAGATTTGAGGATTTTAGTGGATGACTCAGCCCTTTGGTTGATTTGGCCTCCATGGTTCTCTTTAGTTTTCTAAATAGTTTGAACTACTTCTAACTCGATGTTAACAAGACAAAAAAGGAAAATCATGTTTCTATTGTGGTGTCAAGAAATAAACAGGTGGCAAGACCTTAGCAGTGATTAAAAGGTACTTCATATTTTTGACAATGAAATGAAAATGCTGCATACATACTAAAACTTTATATTTGATAGTACTCTTATATAAATAGCATTTACACAATTAGGTAGTTCTACTTTGTGGGTGGATATCCCCAAAATTTGGTATACATGCCTCCCCTACTCCAGGCCTTGCCTTCACTCTTTGATTCTTTGGAGTCAATATTGCTCTTAGTTTTAAAAGTTTTAGTAGTCAAGATTCTCCTCTTTCCTATATATTTTGCTGACTGGCTTCTGATATTTAGGGAAGGAGCAGCAAAATAGAAGAAAGGCAAAGGGGCAGAGGAATGTTTATATTTGATTCATGCTGTTGTGTTTATCTAGCGTCAGAGCTTTTAAAATGTGGTAGGTGTTGAAAACCAACTCTCTCCTATGAATTTCACTTATGGTTTCTTTGTAGAACCCGGTTTCTGATGTTCTGTATTTTTGCTGAAGACAAATGATATGTTTGAAAACTATTAAGCCTATAAATGTAAATTTCCCAATCATGTTTGATAGCACAAAATATTATATTAAGGAAAATGTTTTTAGCCAAGTAATGTATATCCCATACAGAATGTTCTTTTTGAGACTAAAGTTTTCCACCTAGTTAGGCAAAGGCAGGTCACCTAGGGCCCCGAACACCAGGGTGAGGAGTCTGCATTTTATTCCAAGAGAGAAGGAAGGATTTGGATGATTTCCAGCCATGGGCCTCATAACCCAATTTACACTTTTAAAAGCTCCCTGTTGGCTGTTAGGTGGGGGACAGGATAATAGAAGGACAAAATGGCAGATAGAAATGTAGTCTTCATAAAAGATGATAGCTATTTGGACATGGTTGCTGCCACCGAGGGACTGGGAATGAATCCCTGCAGGTCCAAAGCTAGAGACATTGTCAGGTCACGAAGTGCATCTCTCACTAAAATCGGTAGGAGTGGGTCCTCACTCAGGCATGTTTCCTGGTTTTCTCTCATCTTCCCTGTTCTGTGCCTTCACAGGGCACATTCTCGCCCATCTCCACACTCTAACCCCTACTCCCTCCCTAGTTGGGATCACCTTGGTCTCCCTTCTGTCTTCAGCAGTCCTAATGTTGGCTACTCAGAAGACAAAAACTTTGGGTATAAAGTCTGCAAACACTGTGCACATAAAATGCCAAGCATCCTTCAACCCAGGAGAAGTAGCCTATAGCTTTAGTGGTGGTTACTACTATTTGGTACCAGCCCCGGGGTTGAAATCATAGGTCCTCTAACTTATTAACTGTGATGTTGAGCAAATTACTAAAATTCTCTGTGCTTCAATTTTCTCCCATGTGAAATAGGAATACTGGTAGTACTTATCTCACACAATTTTTACAAAGATTAAATGGGTTAACGTTTACAAAGTGCTTAGAACTGTACTTAACACATAATAAATGTTACTTGAATGATTGCTGTGGTCGTCATTAGCTACCATTTAGAGCTGTGTGAGGAACAGATAAATAACGCCTGTAAAGCACGTATCATGGGGGGCACACACATAAACAGTAAGCACCCAATTAATGCTAAGCTATTATTACTTTGCTCAAATATGACACACGTGTCAGAAATGACCCGCTGTTTATTTCTTTTTTTTTTTTATTTTTGCCTCTCTTGCTGTTTCTGATTTCTTTTTCAGCCCCTGTGAGGTCACATATGTCTGTGCCCGTGTCTGTGATGAGTATATTTAACCTCAGGGTCAAGACAGAAGATATTGGAAGAGAAGGAGAAGCCACTGGCTCATTTCCCAGTTTTTCCATTTTTATTGAAAAAATAAAAGTATTTCCTGTAAGAACTAGGTACCATATTTTTGAGACTCCAGCTGAGCTTGAATAGTTCATTAATTTTGGCACTCTTACGTGAAATGAAAGCAGTTTTGGAAAGTATGCCTTTATCTGGGTTAATTAGTAAACGAGAACATTGGGACTTTAACACATTTTTTTTTTTTTGCTTCAGCAATTCTTGTAATTGTTTTGCTTAGGTTCATGCTGTATATAAACACATAAAGACAGCTTTATGTATCCATCCTGTGATAAAAGACAACTGGAATATTCATGGTGTTCAAGGGACATTTTGGGGAGGGGAAAGTATAAGGACTGTATTACAGAGAAATTTGAAAGAAACAGAAAAGATGGAGGTTGGGGAAAAAAGATGAAGCTGTCTGAATAAGAAAGGATGTCTTAAAGAATGAACAACAGCAAAAGGAAGCACCATTAACAGCCTGTTCCATTTTGATGTCTGACTACACATATCCCAGCTTCGTTTTTATCATCTTAATGTTTATATCGTTACTGACATCCCTGACTTCTGTAACTTCTGAATGCCTCTTAAGGAATCTCTCCAATTATTTGAGTTTTTTGCAGATATTTAAAAGTATTTGGCTTCAAGGTTATGTTACATGACAGCAAACAAATGCTTAGTCATGCCATGAGTAGTATAAATGCCGGTGCTGCCTGCAGCATACATCAGTTCCAAGCTGATTATTTTTCCCTTCTTGTTTCCACCAATTTGTTACGAGACAACTGTCACTCGATGCCCAGATTGAATGGTATATCATACCCTCTCTTTGGCTCTAGAAAAATTACAGAACCCATTTTCCTGCTGACATCCTCATAGGTTTAATATTTCAGTTTAAACTTCAGGGTAATGTGTAGATGCATTCTTGTAAGTTGTCTAGTGCTGGCTGTGCAGAAGCATGAGATGGACAAGAGGAAGGTTGGAAAGTACCTTAAAAAGACAGACTTTTATAAAACTATATAACGTAATTTAGTCAAAAGTATTTTCCTTACTTCAGGTAATTAATTATCTAGGCTGTCTGGCTAGATGGGGAATTAACAAGCATTTAGCCATGAAATGTGGATCAGATACTTCACATAATTATTTTATCCATTCTTTCTTATAACATTGTAAAGTAAGTATCATTATCCTTTTACAGATAGGAAAACTGAGGTTAAGAGAAGTGAAATAAATAGCCCAAGGGCATGCTGTATGTTAGCGTACTTATAAAATTTATGAAATTGATATTCATGGCAGATGAGTCTAAATCATCTGAGATTATTTTTTGTACCCTTCTTCCTATATGCATGTGATGATCACCAGAGCTAGTCCTGGCCCCAAGCGGCAGGGAGACGGAACATATGTTTTTTAATTAGTATTACTCAGGCCCCTAGAATGTATCACAGAGAAAATGACATCACAGATGCTCCAGTGTGTCATACACTCTGGTTATTTAAGGGTGTGTAATAGAATCCTACTCCAACAGGAATTTGGATGCATATGGCA
This sequence comes from Homo sapiens, assembly GCF_000001405.40. Lineage (NCBI taxonomy): Eukaryota > Metazoa > Chordata > Mammalia > Primates > Hominidae > Homo > Homo sapiens. The sequence continues at coordinate 149,744,160 of NC_000002.12, read as the reverse complement.
AAACAATTCCCAGAATTCCTTGTCAGTTCAGTTCAGGATGGAAGAATTCTCCCGCAGGACCCTGGCAATAGGCGTTCTGCCCTGTCTGAGGAATCCTCGAGGATCCTGAAATGGGCTGCCCTTGATCCAGTGTGTCACCATGTCTCCCTAACTCTAACCACCCCAGGAGGTAAAAGAGCTTTCTCCTCTCTATTACACACACACACACACACACACACACATCCTTTCCTTAAACTCTTTTGTGGTTATCACAGTGACTGGTGGGCTCTTCTGGCATTCCCAACCAGAGATGTTAAATGTCCTACAACATGTGGGGCTATCTGCATAAATACAAAGTGCCCCTCCCCAATAACAATGAATCCATGAAGAATTTTCCACCATCCCTTCTTTTTTTCACTTACTTTCAATACTCCCTCTCACAGCAGTTTATTCCATCAGGTTCCCTGTGGGAGAAGAGAGGAAGTAGATTAACATATCACCCCTAAAAGACAACCTCCTGTTCTGGGTTGTGATCTCTTCTGACCCAGGTTCTCCTAGTTTCTTGGCTCGCTGGAAATTCTGTTTTTCAGTCAACCTGCTGAATACTCTTTATTGGCAGCTACTCAGAAGGCCACTGCTTGAAAATTTCAGCCCTTGGGGTTGATTTTTGCTGCCAAAAACAGCAGTTGTTGAAGTCTGCTACATATGACTGGGTCATCCATAAGGGTATTTTTTTTCAATATGAAAAACATTTGTTCTGCCAAAGTCATGCCTACCCCCGGCATGGGGGTTGACAGGATTCCATTTGCTTCTAGCAGGGGAAGAACTGACCTCTATAAATTACATTCTTGAATAATGGCTTTGCCCAGAGAAATCTGGCATTACCCCAGGTCTTTCTCCAGATTCATAAACGCTAAATGAGGTGAAGATTTTGACCTGAGCACCTGGGTGGATGTTATGCTCCTTATTAAGATGTGAAAAACCGCCTGGAAAAAAAATTGTCTAGAGAGAGGAACATCAGGGTTTCAGCTTTGGCCTTGTTAAGTTTGAGATGCCTCTTAGACATCTAAATGGATTTGTCCATATGACAGTTGACGATAGGAGTTAAGATTTTAAGGAGTGGCCAGGGTTAGAGATGTACATTTGGGACAGATAAATAGTTCTAAGTCCTCAGCCTGGTAAAATAACTGCTGTGGTTTGAATGGGTTCCCTTCAAAATTCGTGTTGAAACTCAGTTCCCACTGTGGTGGTATTAAGTGGTGGCACCTTTTGGGAAGTGATTAAGTTGGGAGGACTCTGCCCTCATAATTGAATTAGCGCTTTTTAAAAGGGCTGGGAAGAACCAGCTTAGGCCCTTTTGCCATTTGTCCTTTCATCATATGAGGGCACAACCTTTATCACCTCCAGTGGATGCAGCAATAAGGCACCGTCTTGGAAGCAGGGAATGGGGTCCTTGCCAGACACCAAACCTGACAGCATCTTTATCTTGGACTTCCCAACCTCCAAAACTGTTGAAAATAAATTTCCATTCTTTGTAAATGCCCTAGTCTCAGGTATTTTGTGATAGCAGCGAAATGGATTAAGATAATAAAGAGAAAGAGAGTATAAATTTAGGAAAAAATCATCTTGGATTGGATAGCTCTAACATTTAGAATTGCTCAATATAAAATCATCACTAGGTTCTGAGTCTGGTGAATGGTACTAACAGGCAGATTGTCTAGTTATGATGCTGACACTAATGGTTGGAGTATCAATTTAACTAATCCTATGTTTTTCCCCAACCATAAAATAAAGAGTGAGATATACATGGTTACCTTAAGGTGGTAAGATTATAGATGATTTTTAATTTCTTTCTTGTCCTTTTTTATATTGTTCTAATTCTCTACAATGGACACATGACAATGTTATGAAAAAAATACAGTAAACATTTTAAATAGTAATACCCTATATATTGTTTACAGTGCATCTCAACCATCATAAGAGCATGCACGCCCCATCACATTATGATGTGAACACACACTGTAAAGGTGAACATCTTTTTTGTGATATTCAATGAATTATGTCTACAGGCATTTAAGTGGTTCTAAAAGTCTAGAATAATGATGCTTTGGTAAAAATCATAAGGCCAAGATGTCAGTGTGGCACAGTGTGGCATTTTGGACATAATAGAAGCATATTTATTGAATAAACAAAAGGTCACAGTTAAAAGTCACCCTATAAGAGCCTATTAGTTAGCTTGAGAAGTGGTTTACAAGGATGTTCCTTATGTTTCTGTATACTTTCCAACTCTCCAAATGTGTAAGGAGAGCAAAAATGCAATCAGGGAATTAATTCTTGGCCACAACTCACATTCCAAAGGAAAGAATAACAACAACAAAATACCCAAGCAAAACCATCAAACCACATCCTGGTAAAAACCTTTAATGTGCTGCTAGGGCATCATCTGGTCCCCATCATTACCAGCTGTGACTTGCACACCCGGGAAAGGCCAGACTTCAGCAATAGGAACTAAAATCAAAGGCCCATGATATAGCTTTGAAGTTGAATGTGTTTAGCAGCATTTTTAAGTAAGGTGATGACTAGAGAATTAGAAGAAGTGATGGACAGGGCCAGTATAAGACAAAGTTGCTAGGCAATATTTATAAAAATACGAGGAATCTTTGCAAATCAAGATAGGATAGTAACTTCCAGGTCTATCACAATTAATCTTCCGTTTTTACATTCAGTCAATGTGAATTAGAAGTCTACTTTGAGCAGAGTTACATATGTGTGCTTGGATAGATGAGACAATAAGACTGAAGCACTTTACATAAAATGGAGGAGAATGCTGGGCACGGTGGCTCATGCCTATAATCCCAACACCTTTGGGAAGCTGAGGCAGAAAGATCACTTGAGCCCAGGAGTTCAAGACCAGCTTGGCAACATAGTACGACCTCATCTTTACAAAAAAAAACAAAAAACAAAAATGTTTAAGTAGCTGAGTATGGTGGCGTGTGCCTGTAATGCCAGCTACTCAGGAGACTGAGGTGGGAGGATTGCTGGAGCCTGGGAAGTGGAGGTTGCAGTGAGCTGAGATTGCACTACTGCCCTCCAGTCTGGGTGACAGAGCAAGACTAAATAAATAAATAAAATGGAGAAGAAATTAGTAAATAATCTGAAAATCACATAAGCAAATGTAATCTTAATATCAAGTTATCACCTCTAGAGTACATGATTTCTAGGACATGTATTAAAAGTTCTGCTATAAGAAGCTTATCTTGATTAACTTATTTGATCACACGTTTCCCTGCCTATGAACCATTGTTCTATGGAATGTGCTCTAGGCCTACAATAAAGGCAACATTTTCCTAAATTCTTTATTCATGAAACCCTTTACCCAGAGCATTTCAAAAGAGTTGCATTTCAAAAAAACATACTTGCTAAAATCCTTCCACTAAAGATTAGGCTCATCTAGGATTAATTAGGAAACAGCTTTGGAGAAGCTAGAGCAGAGTTTGGAAACAGAGGTAAATAATGTGGTAGATAAGTGAGTGGAAGGCATGTTAGGCTGAAGGATCATGCCACAGCTTGGAGGCTGAACTCATTTGGCATGGGTGAGAACAATCTACATTCACAGAAGAAACACGAATTCCAAAGTAGGCTTGGTTCAGGGAGTTTTCTCTAAGAATACTGCAGTAGTCCTAGCATATCAGGTAACTGGAAAAGTCAACCAGCACTTTGAATCATAATTACTAAGAAGTCAATGAGAAGAGAGCAGGTAAATCTTGAAGAATCCATTATCCTTATGGATAACACATCACAGAAGATAATTCTTAAATTCGTTTTTTAAAATGTTGTCCTGGATAATTCAAGAGTTGCCATAAATTTTCAATGACCTCAATATTTCAAAGCTAGCATATTTTAAATTCATTTTTATTCATTTGTCTAAGTTTTACTTCTCCCTTGTAAGCTGTATGCTTTACTATAAGATAAATTAACAGTACCATTTAATGCATTTGTTCCTTCTAGAATCCAGAATTATCACCCGTAAGGCAGAAATTCTGCCAATTATAATCCTATCCTCACAAGACATCATCAAAACGCTGATTCATACTGACTAAACAAGCTGCATATTAATTACTCATTTCAATGTCAGCATGTTCATTATATATTGCTCTTTCCAGGGGAAGGAAAGACAAGGAGATGCTAACGCTTCTAGGGCATTTCATTAAAATGCACAACGCAGCAAAAAATAAGTTGCTTTTGCCCTTTAACTGAATTATGAAGAACAAACTTATGAAAATTATATTGGAACTGAAGGCTTTACCATTTAAAGACAACAGCACATTTTCTGTCACTTTTCATACATGTTTTTGGTGGCTCAAATCTACTCGAGTTATGCGATGGTCTCCCCAGTCCATACCACTATATCCTATGCCTCTCGTTGCTCACTGTAAGCCCTGTCTCACTAGAATGGCATGTGCTGGTAATGCCTGGGGTGACAAAGAGAATTGGACATAGTAGAAACTCATCTTGGACTTAGACTGTGTTCACCTGCTGGTCCAATTACAAAGGCTGTTATCAGAGTCGGGTGGGGAGCCTCAGTACATCATAGTAAACCTCAGAGCTGCTCCTGCCCCAGCCTCCTGGACACATGTATAAGCCCAAGAGAGGGAGATAGAGCTGTAATTGCTAATCAAAATAATTATGTTTAGTAAATTGTGTAATCCATCTGTTCCAATTACCCTACCAGAACATAAGACAAAGGGGAAGAGAATCCAGCTGTCTCATTTCCTACCTCTTCCCACTCCCCTGACACAAACCGCAGGCAGGTTGGTTATGATGCCACCTCAGGTCTTCCTTGATGGTGAATCAATCCAGCTGCCAACAGTGCTGAGCAGAGAAACAGGAAAGACTGAAATGGCCATTGGGGGAGCAAGGAGCAGGCGGGCCCAAAATCAGGAAAGCAGATGCAGAGCAATGTCAGGGGGCAGAGCTTACAGAAGAGCAATAAGAGGATCAAACTGAGCAGGGCTGCTGGGTGCCTCCAGGGTGAAACTGCTTGCAAGTACATTTGAGGCACCCTTTAGAGGGCCCCAGAAATGCAGGTGGGTGGTCTGGCAGGGGACCTGAAAGTCCTTTACCAACAAGTAGAAAAGGCTAGCGAAACTAGTGGAATTTGAGCTGTTCTTATTAATGTGACCTCATGTGGTCCTAGCTGATGAGTCCTAGGAGAAATGTGTGGTATATATGAATCTGGGGAGAGCTCCCCTTTCTCTAATATAAAACAGATGTCTGTAAACTAACATTGTAGGAGAATAAATTTGAGCACTCCAAATGGCTAATGAAATATATCAAGTTCCTTTTTTTTTGTTTTAATCTTTTGAGCTTAAGTACAAAGCATAGGGTGTGAGATGATCATGGTAGGCAAGAAAGAAGATGAAAGAAAAGTAGAGAGAAAGAGAAGTAGTTCATGGTTCAATAAACACCTACTGCGTTCTTGGCTCTTTGGTGGATTTTTTGTTCATGGCCATTGTTTTAGCTGATTTTCAAAAGTAAAAAAAAAAAAACGAGTCAAGTATTATTATCATCATTTTACAATGAAGAGATGAGTTTCAGAGATAGGAAGCAACTTGTAAGGGAGACCACACAGTTTCTAAACATTGGAGGTAAAATTTGAATCAAGGTCTATGTGATATCAAAGCCTATGCCTGCACTCCTAAGCATGAGCAAGACAACACTCTGGGGTGCAGAAAGAAAACATTAAAATTCCTATTTAGATTATTTTTGACCTACGCTTTTTGGTAAGATCATTTTAATCCAATGCAGGTAGTGACATACCACATCTGGTTCACAAAATATGCTGAATTAAAAGGGGTTGACAGAAGGATGACAGCATCCTCCTCATTCATTGGTCAGCTTTTATTGTATTATGATGTGCTGTAGTTTATGTGGCCAAGTAAAATCTCTTATATTGAGTTTTTAGCTAACATACCTCAGAGAACAGACTAATGGCTCTAAAATATCCCCCTAAAGAAGCAAGAGATTGATGTAAACACTAATGATGTACACACATGTAAGCGTGTGAGTGTGATCTCTTTGTCAGCCACAAAAACAGAGAAACGATGATGACACAATAGACTCTGACTCAAAGTCAGGCAAAAAAATTCTTTTAATTATCAAGCCTATTTGAGGTATGGGTTGATATTCATTATTTAAACATTGCCTTTGCCTATGTAACATATTTGCATGCACTGTGCTTTTGGAGGTTTTTTTTTTCAGTAATGAATATTATTGAAACCAAGTATATCCACTTAGAAGCCAATCCATGAATCACTGTTTCAAATTTTAAACAAATAATTTCAAAGACAATAAAATATTTGGAATAAATTTAATACTAATAAAGTTTAGTACTAGTAAGTTTAGTATTTTATGCAGAACAAAATGATTGGTCATCAACAAATATAAACCTTTAAAATATTATATATTTCATCTTTGTTCCATTTTGAAACTTTTCTCTTTTGGAATAAAATGGACATAATATAATAATTCAATGAGATACATATGAAATTCATAAAAAATAAATATTTCTATTAAGAATATATGTTCAAAAAATCTGATAGAGTGTGTTATCAAAAAAATTGCTGGCTGCTCCATCATACATCAGAGTGTAGTGAATATGGTGTGGTTATTAAAAGTTATTAATAAGTATTTTTAAGCAAATAAATAGAAGAAAAAGTACTACATAGGTATGAGGTATACCTCATAGAGTAAGAGATGTTTGGAAAACAAAGAGTAGGGGAGACAGCCTTAACTTAATTTTAATAAGAAGGTTGAAGCCACTGGAGGGTGACCACACATCGCTGTTAGCCTTGGCTTATGCCTGCTCTTCCACATCCCCCCAGATGATGTCCCTTTCCCCTTCAAAGTGATCTGATTTAAATGATAAACTTTACAATCACTCTAATTATACAGAAATTTTAAAAAATGTTTAACTTCTTCATGTGACTCTCTTTCTGTCACTTTCTTTTTACCCTGACCAAAAAAAAAAAAAAAAAAAAAAAACAGTATCTTTTTATTTTCACGGCCAGCCCTGTCATATGTACACAGTATCCTTTAAGCTATGATAAATGTATGTTATAGTTTTTCTTCCTTGCAAAATCCATCTCTCTCTCTCTCCTTAGGATTCTCCTTCCCCTGCCTATGAATATATCCAGGTCTTGCAAAATCTGAAATTAAAATTCAAAAAGATTTATTTTGAGACGCACGTCTCCCTTTGAACACTTCTCCCCCTTTCATTTTATTTGGAAAACTTTCTAAAGGAAAGTCCTTACTTGCTACATTTTCTTCCTTCTGTACTCAACACTGTATTGTAATTGCTGTCTTGGAGTTTCCCACTGACAATGCCACATCAAACACCCTGTTCCTTAGCTTATTCCACAGAAAGTTATGAGAGCTTATTGGAGGACTATGCAGGAATCCCACGCCTTTGACGAAAGAATGGTCCTTCTCTACTTTTAGGACAGTCAGAGAGGGTGTGAAGGGAGGAAGCTACCACCTGCCTACTTAGCCAGATGGACTGAATTGATTGGTCTTCAGATGGTCACAACCACACCATCCCACTCTGCAAAGGCATTTTCTTAACCTTCCTTCCCCTGCATCTTTACCTCTCTGAATACTTGAAATTATTGACCAGCTTTGCCATCTTAAAAGTTTCTATTATTTTGGTGTATTCTAGGACATTGCAGAATGTAGTATAAATAATATGTAATTTGGAGTCTGAAGGATCTGGATCTGAATTGTAATTCTGCCCCTCACTATTGCTTGTTGAATTCATCCAAGTCATTAATCTCTCTGAGCTTCAGTTTCATAGTCTATCAAATGAAATTATGATGTCTAACTCACAGGCTGTTTATCACTAATCTTACTGAGACTATTTTCACATGAACATTGGCTAATTTTTTGTTATTATACTTAAAGTTTTCAACTGCTTTAAGTGGCACAACTAACTGGACTGACTGTGCTTTAATCCACATTAACTTGCAATAGAATCAAAAGCATCTTAATGGTCACTTTTGATCCAGTGTTTACTCTTCATATACTTGAGTCCAGGCTTTAGGGCAATGACACTGTTTTTATGAGAATGAAACCAGCCAATTGTCCCATAGAAATAATATTTCCAGGTTTTTAATAAACATAAAAATTGACCCTCCATATTAAAACTTGACACTTATATTTGTCTTAACTGAGTTTCTTCCTCAGGAAACCAACGCTCAGGCAAGGGACTGAAACTCACTAGATCACCACATCCAAAGAGATGCCAGACCCCTCATTTATCATGATTGCTTTCTGACTCCTTCCTAATTCCTGTTTTCCTGCTTTCCCCAGTATATAAACACCCCAGTTTTGGTCACTCAGGGAGACAGATTTGAGACTGACCTCTCATTCTCCTTGGCTACAGCACCCAATTAAAGCCTTCTTCCCTGGTGATACTCATTGACTCCATGATTGGCATGCTGGGTAGTGAGCAGCAGGACATAGACCCTAGAGGTACAGTAACAAGAATTCAAGACAATTAAATGTACTGAGACACTTTCTGTATTGTGCCCAAGAGCTGAGTTATTTTCCTATCATTTATGTTGAACATTTTTTTTTCTAATTCCGTTTATATAATGTGTAAATAAAAGGAAGAAAACTATGAAAGAATGTAGGGTTAAGAGTATAACAGAAACATTTTGGAGCCGCAGCCAAATGCCTGAGGAAATAGGGAGGGGATTTCCAAAGAGACTTTAGAAAGGAACTATGGGAATCAGAGTCTAGACATCTGCCAAGTCCAGAATACACTGGCGCCCTTCACAGAAGTAAGTATGTACTAGTAAAAGCATTATTCTCTATTATTTCTCACCTTTACCCAATTTCAAACTCTGTGGGAATATGGGGCAGTGGAAAGACTAGAACTACTCATTTTCAAAAGGTAGCTAAACATACCACCCTTCCCCAACCATAGACTTTCCACTTGAAACAGAACCAAACTGGAGAGAAAGACAAGATGCCTCAACTTACAGTCGTTGAGAGTATTAATTATATATGACTGGACATTATATATACTTATCCCAGGCTGTGTTTTATGTCTTGTTCATAAGACATTTTGCTACTAAGAGTGACCAGAAAAGTCAAGGGACTGACTAAGTGTTCACTCAGAGGCAGGAGCTGCCTCAGGAAGAAAAAAAGAAAAAAAAAAAAAAAAAGGAAAACAGAGTTAGTGGGAGGCAGAAATAAAACTGTGTAACTGATTTAGTTACTTTCTAATGTAGTCCTCTGCTCTACTGTTCCTGGCCCTGTCAAGTATCTCTCCTCTCACAAAGACACTGGTCCTTAGCTATGCCCAAAACTGAAGGTGCACCCTTCAAATTCAAAGCTAACAGGATATACGTTTAAGCTTAAGAAGCCCATTGTGAGAGACACAGGAAATTGGAAAGGTGGAAAAGTGCATTGTGTGGAGCCTCCAGGAGCAGGATGCTAGGTTTTCATTTTAACAGTCAACGCCATGAACCAGGGCATAAAAAAAAGAATTGCAGTCTGCTGTGTTGACTGGAATTTAAAGTAAACATGAGGAAAAATAATGGGAAGTAGAGTTAAGACAGGAATTCTAGGAGCAGGCACAAAGACAAAGGATAGTGGTTTGACTTCATGGACTTTTACTACCAAGGGTCTCCATGTTAACATCACTTTCCGACATCCCTCAGCACATAGCCCAACTAGTCCTGCCATTGCCAAGCACACATATGTTGACTAGCTGCATTTAAATTACTTAGAGAGATAAAAGAACCCTTTTTTAAGTTGTGCCCTGAGAAGTTAAAATTTTATCTCAACTTGGTTCTTTGTAGAGCACAAGAAATTGTTACTGAAAAGTTTCCATCCTCTGATAGAAAGGTCAGGCAAATATAGATAGAAGGGAAGTTAGACTCAGTCTGAGAAAGTGACTGTAAGCAGTGATTTATGGGCAGAATTCCTAGGGTGGGGGTAAGGGCAACAGCCTCAACACTGTAGACAAAGGAAACAATGCTTTATAATCTACTGAAAAAATGATAAGTCAAATTACAGAAAACATAGAACTGCAGAGATAAAAGCACATTCCCCCGGGGCAGGAAATGTAGAGCATTTAAAATGAGAAAATTTCCCCAGGCCCATTCCCTTTATTTGTCTTTGCTTCTCTCCTTTTTCTGTCTTCATTTCTCATTTCCTGTATTACTGACATTTTTAAATAAATCTATAGGAGTGATGTCAGAATTTTACATATATATGAACTAGCTTGAATATCAAAAAGTTGCATTTTTCTCTAAATAGTGATACAGATTTAACATTTGACATCTAGAAATAAACAAGAAACCATAATCCATAAAGCTTTAATTAACTGAAATACAGACAGCATGATATGATAATACATTTAGTGTTGTGGCTAAGAATAAATCATTATTATTTTAATGGTTGTCTCTGAAAAACTTCCACTTTTCCACACTTTTCTATTAAATGGGAAGCTCTATTTTCCTCCTCATTAAATCTACTGTGCTTAATGGGTTTAAAATTCAGTGTATATTGATCAACGACTGCTTCCTTAAATCATCTTCCTACACTGATTTTGCAAGTTTTCATATTTACAGCACAGGTAATAAGAAATAGTTATGCAATGGTTTATAGGTTTTAAAACATTAGAATACATTTCAAATATAAGGCCCCTTAGGCTACTCTGTATAGCCATTCTTAAATGCCCTTATTTTGATTACTTTTCCTATGTTTTGACTAAAATATTATTTGATTTAAAAGAATTCAATCCAGTTTGATTACTTTCATAGTGATCATATTTAAAAAAATTTACCCTCAAATGTTGAGCATTTCTATTTGGCAGATGCTATACTAACAGCTTTCAGCTTTACATGAAATAAGTCATGGAATTCTTACAACCACTTTACAAGATTAGTATATTTGTATATTTGCATATAGGGTAACCCTCAGAATAACCCCATAAGATTCTCACATGTACTATCCCATACATTCCCATGAAAAAGACTAAAATATGAAGTGGTGGGGAGTCCTGGCACAGGGCCCAGGAGGGCACAGCTGCCCCACTGAGATGCTCAGCAGCTCCACATGATACTGCCTTTACAAAATTATGACAGTGAGAGTAAATCTGACACAGTGGACTCCATCTTGCTTCTGACCTCTGAGCTGCCTTTGCTCATTCCTGGGCATAGACCAAGCTAACCAAGGGAGGAATTTAGCTTATACTTTAACTTTGAAGCAAGGATGATAGTAGTCCCTCCTTAAAACTAACTCTATTCCCCATTCCAACCCCCGCCACTGTTGGAGGGCTGAAATTGACTTTGAAACTGACTTGGTAAGACTAATGAAAGGCCACAAGATGAGGATTTTGGGAAGAGCCTGAGTTCTGCTAAAATGTAGGCAAAGTTTCTGTAACCCTTTACTGCTCAGTGGTCATATGGCCAGAGGTCACAAGATCTGTGGCTTCCCCAATTGCTCCTATAGAAAACATCACTATTGTAGAAACTAAGATTAACTTTTTATGAGATTTTTTTCAAACTGACCCTACCCAGACTCATGACTCATGACCCAACTGGTCCTGGGCCCCCACCCAGAGGCAGACTCAGTGTATGAGAAACGTTTTCCACACCCTTATGACTTCATTCCCCACCCAATCAGCAGCACCCCTTCTCTGGCACCCTGCCCACCAAATTGTCCATAAAAACTCTCATCTCCAAGCCTTCAGGGAGACTGATTTGAGTTAAAACTCTGTTTACCATGTGACCTGCCTTGCATTAATCAGACTCTTTCTTCATTTACCTTTCATCATTGAAACAGGCAGAAAGAATCCATTAGGTGATTTACATGTGCAGCCTGGTTCTGTAAGGTGGGCTGTGTGGTCACAGCAGCTAGGACGGTATCTAGATTGCCCCCATGCTTGGGCATTAAGGTGCAGAGACAGGCTAACTCACTTAATAGAAATATGACTCATCCTGCCTGCCGTTAAACCAAACATTTGTGTCTCTTCAATGAGGACCATTCAAGAGTAGTTTCTTTCCTTCACATCCCAGTATCCCAGAGTTCAAGCTGACTCCTTTCATCGTTGGTCATTCCTCAACATTTAACTGGAAGGAAATATCCCTGAGCTTAAGTGTTATGCTTAATGCAGTAAGCATGACCCCTTCTCAATAAGCAAAAACTTACGCTTTGTCTTAACTGTTATGGGTTGAATTGTGCACCCTCTCAAAGAAAAGTATCTTGAAGCCATAACCCCCAGTACCTCAGAATGTGACTTTACTTGGAAATAGGGTCTTTATAGAGGTAACCAGTTATTATGAGGTCATTAGGATGGGTCCTAATCCAATATAACTGGTGTCTTTGTAAAAAGGGGAAAGTTAAACACAGAGACAAACACAGAGGAAGATAACAGGAAGACACACAGGGAGAAAACCATGTGAAAATGGAAGATTGGAGTGAGGTACCCACAAGCCGGGGAATGCCAAAGATTGCTGGTAAACCCCCAGAAGCTAGGAAGAAGCAAGGGAGAATTTCCCCTACAGATTTTAGAGGGAGTATGGCCCTGCTAGTATCTTGATTGGGGGCTTCTTGCTTCTAAAACTGGGAGACAGTAAGTTTCTGGTGTTTTAAACACCCAGTTTGTGCTACTTCATTATGACAGCCCTAGAAAACTAATACATTAACCAAGCCTCCTTCAGGTTTCCTTTTTTTCCCCTCTTCATTACTCTGTTGAGTTTGACTAGCTGCAGCTGAATGGCTGTTCTGACGTTCTCTTTTGGCAAATTATCTTTTCTTGGCTTCAAATAGGGAATTTAATCTTAGTTCATTGCTGCTACAAATGAAGCTGTAAGAAAAGCGTTTCACTGTTAAAGGAAGTCCCCATTTTGTGTTTCAAAACCTAAGGAAGTTTAGTGATAAGATCCACTGAGCTCTGGCTCATGCAATGCCTTGGCATTACAGCTTTAGCGCAAAAGGCAGTTCTTCCTCCCTCTCCCTCAAAATGAATGAGAGTTTAAATGACAAAAGACATGGTTTGGATGACAGCTCAGCCTCTGCCAATACCATCTTGCATCTGCAAATCTGCTTGTCACTGACTATATGCAGAGGAGAGCAAAGGATATCTCTATGCTTCAGAGATACTTCTAGCAGCAGTAAGATCCATCTCCACATTGTAACCTATATGCCTTCAGGCACGGCAGTGTTCCCAGCTACCCACAAATCTATGTGAATTAAAAATGTGGAGGCCTGTTCTCGTCTTTTCTAATAATATAGGTGAAAATGTAACTCTCTGGGATAGAGGATAAAACCAATCTTACAGCCTTTAATTATAGTGAGACTTGTTAAAAATTTCTAATTATTTCATTATTTTCAGGGGCCAAAATATTTATTGAGACCACTTTATCACAGAATGCTTTCAAACCATTCATCTGGTAATCTATTTTTTTCAACAGCAGATATTAATATAGAGAATAGAAAGTTACCCTTCACTGAGAGCTTGCTATGCTCTCTATGCATACTATTCTAGGTGCTTTACTTTATCACATTGACTCCTCATAATGACTATATAGGGTGCTTGCTACTATTACCCTATCTTACAGCTAGGAAGACTGAGCGATGGTCACCTGCCCAATGTTCCACATCCAATTTTATAGAATCAATACTTGAAACCAAATCTCTGACTTCAGAGCCCAGACTCTTAACTACTCAGCTATCCTGCCTCTGTTGATTGCTCTTAGGTGTCATATATTGTTCTAAGAACAAGGGAGAACAAGATTTGTTTTTAATGACTATATTCCTTGTGGTCAAGGAACTTACAGTTTAGGAAGAAGAAACAGTAAATAACTATCTCATTATAAATGAGTCTATTAATTCCAGAAACGTAGCTGTTATTACACTGCCATACCACATCATGTCAAACTCTCTTAATACATGATGCCAAGGACTCTCCCTCTATAGAATGTATTTAAAACAAGGATCTTCAGAGGAAATAATCTAAATGGATAACAGAAAAGGAGATAATTAAAATATATACATATCCTGACTTGAAACTCAAATTGAAATAATCTAGAAGACCAGCCAACCTGCCCTCTCTTGGTCAACCTGGTAAGCAGCCATAGATAGGCTGGCAAAGATGGCTTTCCCTTTCTCTCCTGGCCAAAAGCTTCCTGGAGGAGAACTTGTTGTCTCATCGTCCCTTTGAGGTAGATTCCAAATATCTATCAGGAGTCCCCTTACTGTTATCATATACGAAATCTTCTGCTATCGTCCAGAACAGCATGCATTCCCAACATTCAAGCTTCATTCAAATCCTTGTTGTTTTTGGCCTGATTTCTTGAAGCTCCCTAAGGCTGAGGGTTACTGCTAAGTGCTGCCTTATCCAATTATCAATCCTGTACAGCCTCATGACATTTTGTAGCTGAAACAGACCTTAGATATCACTTCCTTGAACCTGCTCATTACTCTGTCACCCCTCAGCATTTTTGCAATTACTTTGCTCTGTTTAATTTGTATTTATACAGTTGTTGCTTTGGTAGAATACTTAGGAATGTTTCCTCTATATATTTTCCCTCAACTAGATTACAGGATCCTCAAGGACAGGGAGTGTGTAAGTACACATTATCTTTGTTTTTGTTACTTTTTGCATTGGTTTGCGGATAACGGGTGCTCAGTGAAAGTTGTTGAATGGACGATCCACAAAATAAAAAGTTGAATAAATAGAAAGTATATTTATATATCTTTTTTTTCTCATTTAATTGAGCAAGACCACCTACTCCACAGTTTTTCAAAACTAATTCAAGTAGGATTTAAAATCAGTTTTGGACTTGGGTTATCTTACACAGTATTGATAGTATCAATGCACTTTAAACATCTGTCCTTATGTTGCTTTGAACTTTTTGGTTATCAACAGAAACTCATTCATGATTAAATAACAAAAAACATAATAGAATTACTATGAGGTCCCAAAAACTGGGCCTCTGATACCATCAGAAAAGCCTGCCACCTCTCCTCTCTGCCCCCTTTACACATAGACTTTATTCATTTCTAGCTCTATAGTTCTCTCTCCTTCAGACAGCCATATGAGTAAAAAATAAGGTGGCCAACAGACACCTAGCTTACACATTGCAAGAAATAGAGTGAATCTCTTGATCTCAATTCCAAATTTACTAAGTAAGGGACTGTGATACACCTAGCTTGAGTCTTCTGACAACCCCTGGACTATGACCAGAAGCTCATGTAAAATATTGGTTATTTTCATTCTAATGAGGAGAGAAGTTGATGAAAATAATTTCCCAGTGGAAAAAAAATCAGACCTAGAGAGAAAAAAAAATCAATGAGAATCTAGTATAATATCTATGACTATACACTCATTTACTTAGTTCTCTACATTTTGATTCAGAGACTAAAGCCCCAACAATTTATTTCCTACACAAAGAAGTGTTCAAATGTTAGCTGTTACTATTGCTTATGAAAAGAAACTATTTAGTAAACATATGCAGATCATTACAGTCTTAATGAACAATCCTTTTTTTTATTATTATTAGAGACCTTTGCCCTCCAACATTTTATTTGAGGGGGAAATGTCTGCAAAATCCTGCCCCTAATTAGTTTTTCCTTTTTAAACTAATTGATTGCCCAATGAGTAATTTAATTCTCTTCTAGAAACCTAAAGATAAAGTCTAATCCTGGGAAAATCACTAAATTCACCAGAGAATTAGATAATATCATCAGTGTAGATGCAGCCAGAGAGTAAGATTCGCAGATTGCTATCAGAGAGTAACATAGAGAAACAGCCATTGTGATATTTTCAAAGCCACGTGAGCAAAGAGTTTTATAAAGGCCCCATGAAAATATCCTAATGATAAATGCCAGGTGAATTCTAAGGACTTGTCTTAGACATCACCTCACATATATTAGAGCATAATACATTCCACAAGAAAGCACAAAGATAAACAGACAAGAAGCGCACAAAAGCCAAATGTTCTTTGAGTGTGGAAACTTCTGGAATGAGAAATATTCTTTGTGAGACCAGGAAAATACACACACGGGGGAAATAGCTAAATGAAACTGAATGAGTGTTCTGCAGCAAGATACTCACTGTGAACAGCCTGACCTAAACCTTGGGATATAAAATTTTGCTTCCCTGCAGAGACTTATATCTGCCCATTCGTTATCTGGAGCAGGGGCTCCCTGACAGTGGGACCCTCAAAGCATGCATAATACAAAGAGACTTACTTCCCTCAGGCTTCCAGATTGTCAGGCGAGGCCACCCAGGGCATGATGGCATTAAAATCCAAATAGTCACTGAACAATATAATACTTAAAAATTCGATCCAGTCCAGGCGAGTCAAGGTCTCATTATACAGGCCCTCAGGGCTGAGAAGAGGCCGGAGAACAAAGATGGAAATGTGTATTGTCATGGCATCCCTGCTGCATCCCCTGGTTTCACAGGAGTGGAACAGAGTCTCTTTGAACCAATTCACTGGCAAACATCTTCTGGTTAACTTTCACAGGACTCAGATCAAGAGTGGATGCTCCTGCATCTCACACTGGTCATATAAACTCTAACTCTCCAGGTTTCCCATGTGGTCTTTTCCCAGTCCTGGGTTGGAGTTGGTTTATTTATTGCAGCTGAGGGAGAAAAGCAACTTTACCGTGAAGTATATACCATTTTGATGTGTGGAATTTTTAAGAAAGAGAAGGAAGCATAGGAGCAGAGCCATGATCTTAGTGTAAGATCAGGGCCTTCAGTACCAGATAAGCACCATTTCCAAATTCTAGGATAACCTTTGGCAAATCTCTAAATTAACTGAGGCCTTGGTTTCTTCATCTTATGCAAGATGGAATTGATTAAAAGACAAACCACTATTTTATTGACCACGAGGAAAGAAAAAATAGTCATTTAGAATTGCAATATGCATTGATTATAAAATGCATTCTGATTGCAGAGATGTTTAAAATATGAAAAAAAGTACATCTTAGAATCAATGATAAATGGTATAATTGAGAGGTAGGGGCTTAGCAAAACAGATATTTCTGAAAGTGATCCTGTCTGGTTGCTTGCCCTTTTTAAGAAATGACTATTTTTATTGTTGACTTCTTTTTGCAGTTGTACTTAAGCACTGAAAATAACTGCAGAAAAGAGAGGAGCAGGGCTTTTAAGGAAAATGCACTTCTAGTAGCTGCAGACTGACTCTGAATCAATTAGGTATTGGAAAGTTAAATTATTTGCCTGTTCCAAACAAAACCCAGTGACAGGAATTTGTAGGTCAGCTTTCACTCCCCGCTCACCAACTATCTCTCAAACCATTTGTCTTCATTGGACCAGAATCTTCTCTCTTGCAGCTTATTGATTAGTTCTCTTCCCTCCCTCTTTCTTCCATTCTCCCTTTTTCCTCTTTTCTTCCATCTACCAATATTTAGTAAGCACCTACTCTGTGCCAGGTCCTGTGCTAAGTGCTGGGAAGACAGCAGTGAATAAAACAGACACAGTATGAGCCACTCTCAAGAAACACACCCGTCTAGAGTAGGAGATAGTCATGGGGAAAAGCAATTGCAATGCAACATAATAGGAGCACATACACAGACTAGCCTTAGAAAATCTGGACGGCTTCGCTGGAGGTGACACCAAAACCAAGACCTGAAGCACAACCAGGAGAGTGCCAAATTTTACAGTAAATTCCCTCACACCAGAGAACTGAGTGCATTGGTGAACACAATTTTCTGGTTAACTGAAATAACTCAAGTATCTGACCTACACATTTTCTATTTCCTCCCATAATCTAACCTTATTTGCACTTCTCTCTAGATTACCTTTTGCAATCTCCAATCAGTGACCATGCTGCTACCCCACAGACTTATTCCCTCATGCTCTGCACCTTTGCTCAGCTCCTTCAGTTGCCTTTTCTCCATGCCCTCCACCTTGTTAAATCTGACTTACACTGTGCCTATTATGCATCTCAGCAGAGTTTGCTCAGGAGAGAACTGAGATGCAGAGAGGTTTAGCAACTAGTCTGAGGTGACAGACAAAATTCAAACTTGGCCAATTTGTTCCCAAAGTCCCTTCTTTTTCTGCTACACCATACTGGCTCCTTGTAGTCAGAGTCCTTCTTTATTTCAAAACACCAAGCTCAGGTCTTACTGTCCTCATGAGGCTTCCATCTGATAGTTGCAGCCCGTACAGATCTTACTTGCCCCAATTTTTCTGTTATTTATTCCCTGAACTTTGATATAGACAATGACGCTCACCAATTGTTTTACAACAAGCATATGGGTTTCTTCAACTCAACTGTAAACAATTTGTGTCCAGGAATTGTATTGGAGTTGGGGTTTGGGATTATCAATGCATGACAGGCTGCAGGCTTTTTTTGTACACATAGGTTAGGATACTAGCTATTTGAGTGAACTCCTTAGCTGAGGAACATTTTTGGAAATTATGGGCCATAAAAATCTCAAAGACACCAACCAGACCAGTCTTGCTCTTAATTTGGCTGTTCTTGCAGGCAGTGCCATGAACTTAGTAAGCATTCACTGGTAATGGGAAATGAACAAAAATTAAGGACGTAAAAGCTTTTCTGAGCTTTGTGCTCCCTCCCTGAGCAACCAGACCAGAATAGTATCCCTCTTTGAATGCAAATCAAATGCCATTGTGGCTTTGAAATTACATTTTTTCCATTGAAATTTCTCAAGACATTAATTCTCAAGTGGATCAGTGCTGACATGTATTATTGAGTTTTATTCTTCTTAGTATCTAAGCCACTCCCAGCACATTCTCAAGGCACTTAAAGAAGCGCATTCACCCAACCAGGCTGCCAGTTGATCATTTAGTGCATTATTA
Organism: Homo sapiens; assembly: GCF_000001405.40. Lineage (NCBI taxonomy): Eukaryota > Metazoa > Chordata > Mammalia > Primates > Hominidae > Homo > Homo sapiens. The sequence goes on along the minus strand of NC_000002.12, from coordinate 149,725,310 downwards.
CATAACTTATTACCAGAGAGTCACAAAAGCACAGAGAGGAATTTGATTCCTTATCATTATTTGCATGACATACATAGCACTTTTCCACTAAAGAGCTCTAAGCTCTGTGCAGAGAATATTTAACCAGTCACATTAACTTCTAGGCATCTAGAATTATATAATCAAAAACAAGGAAAGAAGGAGAATAGGAAAGGCAAGAGTAGGATAGGGGAAGATCTGACACAGAACAAAAAAAAAAACAAATAAAAGCAAAATCAAGCCCCAAAATGAATGAGCGTGCTCTGGCTATTTGGGAGGGACGGTACTAAACAGACTGCATAACAATCCACTTAAAGGGTTCTATTTGTGTCCAAGTCCTCTAGGCCAGAGGTCAGTTACTTTAACTGAATAAGGAACTATTTGGTCTAGGAAGTAGGGTGCAAAGTGTTTCCACTTTGTTATGAATGCGTTAAAAGTTGAAGACAGAATGAGCATAAGGAAATCTTCATGTGGATCCTAAGTAAAGTCTATTATCTAATAACATCTGTAGAAATCATCCAGAGTAAAGAGCATAAACCCCTGAAATTCTACTCTTTCTTATTCAGAGAATAAGGAGTACCCAGACTAAGTGTCCACATCCACAGTCACCCAAAAATTTTACTTTAGAGATATCAGCCTCTGTCAGTTTTCACTAGGATAGGCTTTTCTCTAGAATGTTTCCTTATTTTCAACATTTTAATCGCCATTTCACATGTAAGACAAACACGCACACATACACACACGCACACGCACACACACACACACGACTTAGCATTGGATGTACAGTCCAAGTTTAGATGTTGGACATTTTTCATTTATCATATTTTAATATACATTCTGGATGTGTTTCAAAGACTATGTCAACTTCCAATATCCCCACACCACTAATTGTGGCTATGTAAGGCTGCATCAGTTCATAAAGGTCTCTTTAATCACATGCGATTCTGATTACCGGGATGTACTCTTTCCAAGAAAATGCCAAGAGAAAAGAGACAACTTGAAGAGATTTGGCAAGACTTCTCTGGTCATTTGCAAGAGATAAATGTTTCCTTTACCTCATTAATTCACATCTTTCGGCATAGAAAATACGCATTATCCTTGCAGTTACCACCAGCCTCAAAAAAACTTGGAAATTTTGTGAAAAAGCTTAATGGCTCATGCTATAAATGGCAAAATTCTCCCAGCTGGCATCTGCAACTTGCTAGAGCCATTCGTGGACTATTGCCTTCCAGATGAAAATTAAGCTGGAAGATAAAATGGGAAAAGCATCACAAAGTGCCTTGTAATCTCTGGATATATTTGGGAACAGCTTAATTTCCATTTGTCTAGGCTTTCAGATGTTTACCACTAAACTTTCATTTGACAACAGGAAACCAGTCTTGTGTGATAAATAGTAGACATTTTTTCTCAAAAGATAGTATGCACAGTGTCCACTCTTAACCATCTGTGTATCCTTTCAATGTAGAATATATGTAGAATATTTGGTGTGCTCTTCATGTTTTGGAAGATATAAAGAAGAATAAGTTCATATTGATGTCTCCAAGAAGCTCATGGTATTGTTTCTTTTTTCTTTGGACAGAGACCACATATACAGAAGAAATATGATTATGATCAAAGACAAGCAAGTTACAAAAGTTATAATAACAAAGACGTACCTACCCACTCAACTTTTTTTAACCTATAGTTTAGAGTTATATATCATCTCTTGGTTCATGAACTCAACTAATGAAGGTAGATTTACTTATCCACTTGTTAAATTTACCATTTTTCACCTCAGTTTATTTACATGGAGACAAGAGAGGACAATTCATAGAACCATAAGTTGTCAGTTTTGTCTATAGCATAAGGAATATGTAGAGTCTGTCCAGATTGTAGAGAAGGCTTAAAAGCAAGGCTCTGACTAGGTTCAATTCAGTAGGCAAAAGTTGTTACTGAGAGTTTCTAAACAGAACCAAAATTTGAAAGAAAATTTATCATTAATAAATGTATCCACATATGTTAATTATGAGCAGGTAACCTGGGAATTAGAGCAACCAGGTAGGAAGGTGCTGCTGTATTCTTGATAAGCAGTGAAGAAGGACTGAACTAAAGTAGTAATAGGGAGAAAAGAGCAAGTTTAGTTGAGTTTGAAGTTGAGGCCCCAGGTCATCTTTCAAGTGAAGCTCTGTTGCACACAATCAGAAATGCAGGTCTAAGAGAGGTCATTACTGTGACACAGAATCTGGAGGCATTTTCCAAAAAGTGGTTAATTCATGTGAATAGATATGATCACTTAGAGAAAGACTATGGCTAGGGAGAGAAACAAGAAGGACCAAAAAGAGAAGAAAGAGCTTCCTCATTTAGGAAGAAGAAAGAGGACCAAAGGGCAAATGTTAACAGTCACCAGAAGACCCAGAGGAGGACAAGGAACGTACAGCATCACCAAATCCACCTGAAAATTCAAGGTGTGGGTGGTCATTGTGCATCACACGGCAGAGAGAGTAATGACATGAGACCAAGGATGAGGTCATTTGAGTTGTGGACCATGAGATATCGGTAACCAAGAGGGGAGTTTGAGCAGAATGTTGAGGTTGGGAGCCAGATCCCAGGGAGTGTATGGGTGCTAAGGAGATGAAGACAGCAGGTACAGACTAAGATGTTTGTCACCAAAAGAAAACAAGAGAAGTGGTGTCTGGGGCAAGGAGTCCAGACAGACACGTTTCTTTGATGTTTGTTCACTTATTTTTTGGTTTTAGTTAATGAGAACATGACCATATTTGTCAGGTGGAAAGAAGAGTCCCATAGTTCTGGAGATACTTTTATTGATGTAAAATGCAAAGGGAATAAGCAGCAGAGCAAGATCCCAGGAGAAGCAGAAAGGCACGAGATTAAGGAGGCTAATAAGGAAGTAGAGTAATGCCTCTTTTCCAGGGACTAGAAGTCAAGAGCAAAAAAATGGGTGAAGATGATGAGAAATATTAGAGAGAAGAAAGTCCCTCACTTACAATGGTAGAGAAGGCTCAATTCACCTCTAGAGTCAAAGGTTGATGCCCAGGCTCAGAGAGCTCACAGACCACGAGATACTTTAGAATCAAGACTCAGCAGAATGTGTGAAGGAGTGTAAAAGAGAGGGACAAAGTACTGTGCAGCAGCACGGAAGACCCCATGACAGACCATGTATTTAACACACTTTCATTTAAGCTCTGGGATTTGCTTTGTGACTTAACTCTGTGAATTGTCAGCAGCCTGCAAACAAAAGAGAATAAAAATATCCAAAATTACAATGCAGAGCTATTAGCTTCTGTGTGTTGCTGTTTCCCAGTGTCCTTTTTAGCTGGTGGGAATAGCAGGTGGTCAATGGGTCAGGGAAATCAAAAGTGATAGCAAGAGTGTTGCTGAAATTCTTAGCCTTGAACTCCCTCTGGATAAGGAGGTGAGTGAGGTCCAATGCACAGGACCTGATGGCCAAACACTGTTTCTGAATAATGGTAAGGGGAAGAAGTAGGTGCACATAAGGTCAAGTCTCTACACTTCATCCATTCTAGAAATATGGGGTTACAGGCACAAGAGAAATTTTTCATTTCTTATAAGGTAGACCAGCCTTTGATATTCAAACTAATCTGGGGAGTGTTCCTCCATCCCACCGAAGACAGCTCAAGTGGACTGATGTGGCCTCCTGAGGTGTCCAGGCAGAAGCTTCCTCATTAAACACTGATTTTTGCCACTCCAAGATAGCTCAGGCATAAACACTGTTGTTATTTAAGAGGCAAAGCTCCCTAGGACACTGGGAACCAGCATTCATATACACAGTGAGAAGGATTTTTGACCCTACAGGAAACTTATTTTTTTCTCTTTGTATGTTTGATTTGCAGCATTTTCTACAATATCCCTTTAAGTATGAGGGCTGTGATACATACTCCAATTAGATAAATCTTCCACCAATTAAAAAAAATCTTGTTTCATTAGTTTTGAGTTTGTTCTGTTGCCAATAATGTTTTGCTTTTCAGCTGAATAAACAATAAATCTAGGAGGCTATTTAGATGTGTGATGTTCTTGAAAGAAGCTTTTTAGGACATAGAAGACAAAGTTGCTTACTCCAACATTAAAAAGATAATGTAGCTGAGTTGAATTAACCCATTTAGGGATGCATTTCTTCCCAAGGGAAACTGCAAAGTTATTCTTCACAAAGAGACTTCACTGCACCCACACAATTAAACACTGGGGATCAGATAACATGTGACTGCACAGCCTTCAGATAAATCCAATTACCACTTAAATTACCAAAGAAATGTGCTTTTTAGGGCAAATAACCTAAACACAATGACCTTTGTGTGTGTGTCTGTGTGTGTGTGTGTGTGTGTGTGTGTGTAGAAAAAGTTATTGCATGTAAAAAATGCTGTATGAAAGGATGAAATTAGCCCAGTCTTCTCTCCCTCCCCACCCATTCTTTCTCTACCATATGGAGCAGGCTGTTTGTAGGAATCTTTCCTGGGGAAAAGAGGATGGCTGCCTTCCAAACGCAGCCCTCGGGTCATGGCATGGATCAGAGGCTACAGCAGAAATTGTGCAAAAAGCACTGGAGTCAGTAGGGTCCAGTCTCCTGCTCTGCAGGCATGAATGTTGACTGATTCTGAGGCCAGATGAAGCAGTTATAGCCCAGAACCTGCTGATCACAGTTTTCTGATTATAAGAATTTTGGAGAAAGAAAATTACCCAAAAGTCTTTCAAAAGAAAGACCATCAGTATATTACCGTGCCTGAAGGGAGACTCACCACGACAGAGTTCTAATGATAAGGACTTTCCCGGTCTGGCTGGCCCACCGTTGGCCCCCAATAATCACTGTTTGTTCCAGCTTCACACCTTGGTTCATGCTGTTCTGTTTATCAAGGAGGGCCCCCTTCCCCAACTTGGGCTGCCCTCCTGCCCACTTTCAATGCCCATTTCAGAGCTCAACATTTCCAAAGTGCCTCCCTGGACAACTCCTCTCAGTCCTCTCTTCCCCTCTGGAACCTCTGTATCACTCATCGTCTGCCACTCATGTGTCCCATATTTATTCCACAAAGCGCTATAATGTCAGTTTTAAAGTGTATATCTTGACTGCTTAATTGCATGATGGTTGTATCACAGACTTTGGCCCCATCCATCCAGATGCTGAATACTACTTTTAAAGTCACCAACTAGAGAATGGAAAATCTTCTGGGTTAAGAGCCATGCTTATATACATTCCCATGGTGTAACAAGTGCCCTCCTTGAAACGTGGATGGATCAATTCAACCTCAAACCCCATGTGCTATAAAAAGGGACAATAGAAGAGCCACAGAGAAACTACATGAGCCACTGCTCTCTTGCAGAGATTTGCATGTGGTTGCCCTAAAATCAAAGTCAGCTTTGTATGTGGCAGGACTTGGAAGGGCAGATGTTTGCTGGAGGCCTCCATGAGGTCAGAAACAGAAGCCTAAGGATACGTGGAGTCATTCTTTGAACAAGATTCACACTGGCCAAATGTTTGCTTTGTCTCCACCTCATGTAGAATTGGCTGGACCACAACCCTATGTTCCTGCCTTGATTCCCGGAAGTATGGTGACCAGCACTCTTGCTGCCCTGATGAATCTATGAGAAATAGAATATAGAAGTGTGGCACAGAAGAGATTTTTACTAGAAAGAGTAAATTATTGATGTGGCATAAACTGCTGCTAACTCTTTGTTCTGGGCTTTTCTTACATGACAGATTCCTCTGTGTTGACTCCTGAGTCCTGAGTATGTCTTCATGACTAAGGGGGTTGTCCACTCACTCATATTCTCATTCACACATACCCCCTTTGCACTATCTGTAGGCTTGATCTATCAAATAGAAGCAAAAATGACCTTAACCAAGAGTTGGGCATCATCCACAATAATCTTTGAAACTGGATTCCTGGTTCTCACCCAGCACAACATCACATACCCACTCTGGAGACCAAGTAAGTTCACTTGCTCAGACCCTCCATGGTCTTTAGCCTTGATCTGGGAAATTTGGCGGTTGTGTTCCCAATCACCAGGTACTGCCCACTGGCCCAGGGAAACTCAAAACCCAGAGAAGACGGCCATCAGAATAGATAATAACAAATTTTATTATACGACCCAAAGTCCTTCACATGACGGCCTCCTGTAACCTATCTGACCATGTGTTTGGAGAGTCTCTAAAAATTCCTAACAGAGTGAAACCACTAAACCTCTTACAAAATAGAAATCTTTTCAGAACTGGGGGAAATATTTCTTTTATCTCAGTTTGTGGAAAGGCATCAAATAAAAGTAAGCAACATTCTCTTTAGGTATTCCTTCTTAGATTTTATTTTTAATGAAACATTTGGCTTCAAAACATACTTTCAAAGTCTAATGCCCCATAAATGGCAATTACTATTTTAAAAAGCAAAGCGTTTACCCTCCAAAATCTAAAACCTTCAGACCTCACATGGCATTAACCAGCTCTTCAAAGTTTACTAAAATAAATCTTAAGAGCTTCTTCTGTTTTATTTTGAATTGTATGTTGACTTGGAAACAACAGAATTTTTCCCCTCTCCTGTCTCCTGAGGACTGGTCCTCAAGAGCAAAAAGTTCTCCATATGTAAGAACAAAAAAAGGGAAAACAGCACTCCATGCCCCATAAGATTTACAATTCAACCTATTTCTTGTCTGATGGGAATTCTTTGGTTCTGTCTTCCTCATGCAACCCCTAAAATGCCTAGCTGTCAGACAATGCTACTTTTGGCCTGTGCTCTGGAAGGCTCCATTCTGGCCCTCCTCCAGCCTGACCCCTCCTCACAGAGCAAGAGAACATTATGATCTCTTTGGGTAGGTGCCCACTCCACCCTTCTAGACTACCCTCTAGGCACTCTGAACTCCAGAATTTCATGCCCAAATAGCTTAAGCCATTTTTCTTTCTTTCTTTTTTTTTTTTTTTGAGATGGAGTTTCACTCTTGTTGCCCAGGCTGGAGTGCAATGGTGCAATCTCGGCTCACTGCAAACTCCACCTCCTGGGTTCAAGTGATTCTCTTGTCTCAGCCTCCCAAGTAGCTGGGATTACAGAAGCCCACCACCATGCCGAGCTAATTTTTGTATTTTTAGTAGAGACGGGGTTTCACCATGTTGGCCAGGATGATCTTGAACTCCTGACCTCGGGTGATTGACCTGCCTGGGCCTCCCCAAAGTGCTGGGATTACAGGTGTGAGCCACCCCACCCGGCCCTCGAGTCATCTTCTGTGGCAGCATGATGCAGTGTTGTCTTGCAGGTCATCCAAGTAGATGTGCTCATTTAGAAGAATTGGTCTTGAATGCCAGCAATTTTTTAGAGATAAAAATTTATTTTTAAATCATCTCTGCTCATTGTCATAGAATTAATGGCATTTTAATACTTGGGAGGACCTTGGGGACCATTCACTGCATCTCATCATTTTATGGTCTAGCTCTGTGGGTAAGAGCAGAGGCCTGGCCTCAGGTGGAATCTCAGCTGTAACTGTTATAGGTCCACAGCTCCTTTTGTGAAACCTTTGTGGCAAGATATATCATGAAGTTCAGAATTGGGGGCACATTAGAAAGCTATTATAGTAGAGTACATATAACATATTAAAAACCACACTTCCAGTGGGGTCAGGAGCCACACCCCATAATCAAACTAGGCAATATCTCTGCAAGAAACACATTATTATTCACATTTTTGTGGCTGAAATGTGTCCTCTCAAAATTCCCATGTTGAAGTGCTTACCCCTAGTACCTAGAATGTGATTGGTTTAATAAACAGTTTTTAAAGAGGTAATTAAGTCAAAATGAGAACATTAGCATAGGCCCTAATCCAACATGACTACTATCCTTATAAGAAGATGAAATTAGGGCACAGATAGGCAAGAGGGAAGACCAAGTAAAAACACAGGGAGAAGATGACCATCTCCAAGCCAAGGAGAGACCTCGGAAGAAACCAACCCTTTCAACACCTTGATCTCAGACTTCTAGCCTCCAGAACTGTGAGAAAATGAAATTCTATTGTTTCAGCCTCCCAGTCTGTGATGCTTTGTTATGGCAGCTCCAGCAAACTAATGCACACACTAAAACGTTAAATAGCCTTGTGTCAATTCCGGTCTGGTTCTATCCCCAAATATGTTATGAAAAAACTGTGTTTTCAGAGATTTCTTGGTCTTAGCAGAGAACGAAGTGGGCCTGTACTGTCTGTGGATCATAGACAAATTACTTAACCCTGCCAAGAGCCTGGAGTCACAAACCTTTTCCAAGAGCACACAGCAACCTGTGAGTCCCTTTCGTCCTCCCAAAGCTCTGTTACAGCCTGGCTGCGCAAGTTTCTAGGTTGCTCTATAAACAGGCTTCAGATGAATACAAAGTCGGCCAATGAAATAATTCCTGTTATACAAGGTCCCTCTGCAAGGAAATCCTGAATTAGCTTCCCACCAGGTCCTCTAAGTTGGCTAAATGCTTCAGATTCTTTGAATGCTGTAGCCTTATGACTCCTTCCATTGTGGCACCATTCGGGTAACTGACATTCTCCTGCCTCGCTGCCCTACTAACATTTTTGTTTGATTTCTACAGTGAATCAAAAAGGTGAGGAGGGGGGAATCACCTCCGAGGTTCTGTCAGGTAAAAGCCACATATGTGTCTATGTAAGGGAAAACTAAAGGATTTGTAAATAGTTTTATTTAACAACCAGCTGTCTTTACCACACTTTTCCAAATCTTTGATCAGGGCAGGCAGCCAGTAGCAAAATTTGATAGTTTATTATTCAGTAGTGAAAAAGCAGCTCCATTTCTAAGCCTTTTTAACAGTAAGTGACATTTTTATTTCCAGAATCCTTTCTTTGGCACCCACTGGCTTTGTTTAAGTTTCTTGAGTTTTCTTTAACTGAATGATCAGCCCCTTCATGAACTTCTACTTTGCATGTTCTTCACTAAGTGACAGAAAACCTTACTTTCAAAGACCAGACTATTTCCTATTACACACTCATATGACAAAAAGCAATACAAATAGTGACAGTGATGATAATAATGACAGAAGCTAGTGCTTACACTTCCTCAGACCAGACATTCTTACATATGTCACTTAATAATCAGCAGTCTGTTGCTGTTGTTGGTATCAAGCTCTTTTCATGGATGAGAATGCAGAGGTAAACTATGTTGTCTAAGGTCACATGCTAACAAATGGAAGAAGTGGAACTTGAACCCAAGCAGCCTGGCTATAGAGTTCAGTCCAAAGCTCTTAGTCAACTACTCTGCACCCATTCAGCTGTTCACTATTTCCAGAGGCTAAACATGGATCATCACAGTTCCAATGAGGAATATTACTCTCAGCGCAGGCAGACCTTTCAAATGTCCTATTTTGTTCTTAGAGTAAATCGTGTTAACAATGTGGTTACTGGAAAGAGCATTGGATCCCAAAATTAAAAACACCAAAGGTCTGGTTTCACTGTCTTGTGACCTTGGAAAATCACTTATATACACACAAAAAAAGTTAAAGTCAGAAAAATCAGGGGCACAGTTGTGGAGTGAACGTAGACGCCTGCATCAGAGATCTGTTACTGCACATAAGCCCCATGCAAATCACCTAAGATCTGTGTGGCAGAGGGAAAAATCTGCCCCCCACCCCCGAATATATGCCCACAATCCTCATCACTGGAACCTGTGGATGTGACCTTGTGTGAAAAAAGGGTCTTTGCAGATGCAATGAAGGATCTCAAGATGAGGAGATCATTCTAGGTTATCTGAGTAGGCTATAAATCTAAAAGCAAGTGTTGTTATAACACACAAGGAGAGACACGCAGACAAGAGGAGGAGGCAATGTGACCATGGAGGAGGAGGCTGGAGTGAGACACAAGCCAAGGAAGGCTGACAGCCACCAGAAACTGGAAGAAACAAAGAATGCAATCTCCCTTGGAGCCTCTGGAGGGAGCACAGCCCTGCCAACACTCTAAACTTCAGACTTCTGGGCTCCCAAACTGTGAGAGAATAAATTCCTGTTATTTTAAGCCACCTGGTTTGTGGTAAATTGTTACAGCAGCCACAGCAAACTAATATAACGGGCATTGTAAAAAATGACCTGACCATCAAAGGGTTGGCAGGGGCCACATGCAGTTTACTCTAACATCCACATAAGTTTGAATATGCCCATTTTACAAGAAAGAAAATGAACTCTTAGAGAATGTATCCCTCCAGTTTACTTCAGAAGGGGAATATGAAAAATCAAATTAGATAATACAAAACAGATCTTTGAAATTGTGAAATTCTATGTCATAAAAGCTATGATGATGATGATGATGAAGACGATGATTACAATCATGATGATTTTTATGATACAGGATGGGGAAAAGCATGCTTTCATGGATCAAATATTAGATGCAATAGACAGAAAAATTACTGAACAATTATTTCTAGTTTCCAAAAAATACAATATCATACAAATAATAAAATATAATTAAATCTTTTCGATGATTCAGAAGAGTGAGTCAGTTCCTCAGTTTGCATTATGAGTATTAATTATTATTGCCTTGGCAAAGCAATTTAAAGAACTTTCCTCTTTTTAAAAAATTTTAATTTCTATTTTTGTTCTTTAAGTTTCGGGGTACATGTGCAGGATGTGCATGTTTGTTACATAGGTAAATGTGCGCCATGGTGGTTTGCTGCACCTAACGACCTATCACCTAGGTGTTCAGCCCAGTATGCGTTAGCTCTTTTCCCTAATGTTCTCCTCCCTTGCCCTTCCCTGACAGGCCCCAGTGAGTGTTGTTCCCCTCCCTGTGTCCAAGTGTTCTCATTGATCAGCTCCCACTTATAAGTGAAAACACGTGGTGTTTGATTTTCTGTTCCTGCATTCGTTTGCTGAGGATAATGGCTTCCAGCTCCATCCATGTCCCTGCAAAGGACATGATCTCATTCCTTTTTATGGCTGCATAGTATTCCATGGTGTATATATACCACATTTTCTTTATCCAGTCTATCATTGATGGGCATTTGGGTTGATTCCATGTCTTTGCTATTGTGAATAGTGCTGCAATGAATATTCACGTACATGTACCTTTATAATAGAATGGTTTATATTCTTTTGGGTATATACCCAATAATGAGATTGCTGGGTCAAATGGTACTTCTGGTTCTAAATCTTTGAGAAATTGCCACACTGGTTGAGAACTAATTTACATTCCCACCAACAGTGTAAAAGTGTTCTTATTTCTCTGTAAGCTCAACAGCATCTGTTGTTTCTTGACTTTTTAATAATCACCATTATGACTGGCATGAGACGGTATCTCATTGTGGTTTTCATTTGCATTTCTCTAATGATCAGTGATGTTGAGCTTTTTTTCATGTTTGTTGGCTGCATGTATGACATTTTTTGAGAAGTATCTGTTCATATCCTTTGCCCACTTTTTAATGGGGTTGTTTCTTTTCTTGTAAATTTGCTTAAGTTCCTTGTAGATTCTGGATATTAGACCTTAGATGGATAGATAGCAAAATTTTTCTCTCAATTCTGTAGGTTATCTATTTGCTCTAATGATAGTTTTGTTTGCTCTACAGAAGCTTAAAGAGCTTTTCATTAGGACTCGAAACTATTTATGGAGTGCCTACAATGTGTCAAGTATAGAACCACTGCATCCATTAGCATTACCTGACACAAATCAACTTTCAGTTTTCTTTTAAGGCTCTCAATATGTGATCAAAAAAAGGAGGAACCCAAATGGGCAATGCCTTTTCTGACAGCACTGATATTATTCCCTAATCTAACCAAAGAGTCCACTTTTCAAGCGTCATTAAACACAGAATTATAACAGTTCTTGGGAAGACGTTATTCAGGCACTTTATCCAACATCACACAGGCAAGCAAGGAGTGAAGTCCACTCTTCTGAAATTTCCTTTATCATTTGGACATTGAAAGTTTTCACCGAGATTTAGACTTTTTTTTTTTTTTTTTTTTTTGGTGAGACGGAGTCTTGCTCTGTCTCCCAGGCTGGAGTGCAGTGTCACAATCTCGGTTCACTGCAACCTCTGCTCCTGGGTTCAAGTGATTCTCCTGCCTCAAGCCTCCTGAGTAGTTGGGATTATAGGCGTGCACCACCACACCTGGTTAATTTTTGTATTTTTAGTAGAGATGACGTTTCACCATGTTGGTCAGGCTGGTCTTCAACTCCCAACCTCATGATCCGCCCACCACAGCCTCCCAAAGTGCTGGGATTATAGGCGTGAGCCACCGTGCCCAGCCTAGACCTTCTTAAACATTCTCACTCTAATCAGTATCGAACAGCCATGCCATGAGTTCAGCCATGCCCCAGTCTCCACCACACTAGCTGCTCTCATTTTCAGTATCTATTGACCCTCATATTTGAGTCTGTGACCTGTCAGTAGGACACAGCACAAGCTTGAAAGGAAAACCAAAATGAAGACCATTGGTGAAACTAAAAGGAAAGTCAGACCTAAAAGGATTGCTTGGAAAAGTACAGTGAAACAGAAGTAAAGGATCTTTTCTAATCCTTATTGTTGAACTAGAAGACAGGCAAAACAAAGTAGTAATGGGGACTTTTGTGCTCATTTGTAACTACTTGTTCTTGTCATTACGTTTCTGGGCTTTTGTTCCTATCACTGTACTTGTCATATTGCTTGTATGACATCAATGGGTTGGTCTTCATTAGATTGAGATTTCCTTGAAGGTAGTCTTATTTGTGTCTTCATTTTTACCAGAAGGTATGCTTTCTATAAATATTTATTTATTGAATGAATGAATGAATGAATGAAGTGAGTTCTATGTAAGCACTGAAGAAGGGCACCTAACAACAACTCAGCCAATAAGGGCAATAGGCAGAGGTGATGTTGCCTGAACTAAAGCTCAAAGATTAATAATAGTAACTGATTGAGAATTTATTTCTTAGACATGACTAAGTATTTTGTATGTATTACTTTACTTAATCTTCATAACCTATGAGATAGGCACAATTATTATCTCTTTCTACAGAAGAGGCAATGAAGACAAAGAGATGGTAAGTGAATTATGCATTCCAAAACAGCTGGTCTGGCTTCAGCTTCTGCCCCTTTAATCAGTGGGTTACATTCTCACAGCCAACAGTTTCTGAGCATGTGTGATATGCCAGCTCCTATTCAATGTGTTCCACATGTATTCCCTCATTTAATTCTCACAACAATGGAAGTGGGGGATGATATCCCACTCAAGGGACATCATTAAGCAAAGACATGGAAGTTGCAGAGGTGGAGGAAAACTACCAATTCCTGAGAGTTACAAGCCATGCAGTGTTCTGAATGTGAAAGCCCAAGACAGGAAAAAAGCTGTTCGCAAAAAACATGAAAAGGTCAGGAAAAAGGTCACCCACAAGGCTAGATGATGTCCTGGAGAGATATGCAAAAGGAACTTGAACTGTGTCCTGTCCACAGTGGGGAACGACAGAAGGGTAGGAGGGTGAAATGGCCAGACTTGCAGCAGTGAAGAAGAGAATCAATGAGGAAATTATTGTGGTACCCAATCAAGAAATAATAAAGACTGCTACTACAACAATCATAAGAGCAGATAGATGGGAGGCAGCATGGCCAGTCTGGTAACTGACTGGATGGGAGAGAACATAGAAAGGGATGGATTGAGGATAAATCCCCAGCTATTAGCCTGGGGAATGGATGGTTGATGGTGGAATCACCAGCTACAGTGAAGTTCCCGGGAGGAGGCCAGGAGAGCCAGCAAGGTGTCATATGAATGTGAGTGAATACATGAGTGAATGAATTTTTATTCCTGTTTGTATAAAATTACTAAGTAATAAGTCAGGAAATTCCATAGATATGGTTTATTTGGATCTTGACAAACTTTCAAAGCCTCTAAGTCAGACCATGTCTGAAGATTCTCACAGGGTTCTGGGGAGTAATCACTAAGGAAGCCCATTCAGAAGAGGATGACTAGAGTGCTGAAAGACGATGTGAAGATCATATAACTGTGGGTACTTAAGACAGAGTATGTAAAACATAAGGAAGAAAAAAGGGCCACCTTCAAAATAGAGGTGGGGGCTGTTCTCAATTTCTCTGGCACATATTGCTCTGTCCTTCTCGTTCATAGGCAAAACACTAGACTGTCTAGTAATACAATACAACACAGACTGGGCCATATTTGCTGGAAGGTAACAACACTGTAGTGTTAAGGGTTACTGCTCATATAGGGCTTGTTGTTCCTCATGCCTGCCTGCCATCAAAACTGAAATTCCCCATAAGCAGATGCAAGAAAACCAGCTCTGGCTTCTTTCTCTGCATTCTGTGGTGGCTTTCCAGCAGCATCCTGCCCTAAGCGGTAAAACAACCAGCACCATCCTGCCCTCCAGCACTGCTGCCCCAGTTCTCCTTCCTTGCTCATGCTCTGCCACTCTCTCCTCCTCTCTCTTTTGTTCACTAGTTGTAAGATTTGGATTTAGGGCTTGGAAAGGGTGAGGTCTCCTTATGCCTTTGGACCAAATTACTAGAACTTTTCAATAGTGTTTTGGCAAGAAGCAAAGCTAATAAGCTAATAATAAAGCAGCTCACTGTTCTATTTTCTTGTTTATCTCCTGAAGACTTTACAGGGAGGAGAGCTGATGGGTCCAGTCCAAGGCTGGACTGGGGTATTCCTGAAATCCCCAGGCCAAAGTCTATCCAATGGCACCTCAATCCTGGCATTGCTTCCAACATAAATACCTCAATGGCTCTTCTATAAAAGAGGAAGAAAACAGACAATGAAGTTTTAGCAGACAGAGTGAGAATATTTAAGTGGATATAGGTGGGCAAAATTTACTCGACAAAACTTTCTAAAAATGACAACTTTTATTGTAAAAATAATCCTCCAAATATGGCTTCCAGCCATCAGAAATGCTACAATGGATGTTGGAGAGCAAGGATTGACAAAGCACTGGATTAGCAGTTAGAGGCATAAGTATCAGACTCAGCTTTGCCAATAATTAGCTTCATGAATCACATCATATCCCTGGTTTTTGGTGGTGCTTGATGACCACAAAGAAACCTTTGGTTCTGCATTCTGGGATGCATCTAAGATGTGCCTGACACAGGACACAGTCAGGGACTTTTAACTAAAAGGGGCGTGTTGTGTTCATTTTTCAAAAAATTATCCTCCTAAATAATCCTTCCCTCAAACACTGTCCCCTTGCTCACTTTTCCTTTTTAATTTTTTCTTCTTTGCTTGTTTGTTTCTGGAAGCTAAAGACCTAGAGATGCCCTTGGCCCTCCTACATCCACATTCCAAACAAATGTAAGAATAAACAGCCATTAAGGAGAATTTCCTGTAGCTCCCTCTGAGCATGGGTAATACATCTAGTTTAAACGGTTTTAATTTTGTCTTTGTCATTCGTATATGTTTTAATCCAGGAATGAACATAAACTGGTGGACATTTCCTTTTCCCTATGTGACTACAGCTAAATATATATTTTTTAATATGTTGCAATGTTATGCATAGGGAATATTCACAGTATACTTTTCATTGAATTCTAAACTCTCATTTCCAGAATTTTTAATGCCACGTGCTTCTTCAGAAAACAAGAATAAACAACCTTGTAATACATGATGGTTCAGTACAGTGGAAAGGGCTCTAGGCTATTTATAGCAATTAGGCCATAAAGAGGGGAACAGACCATATGCACATTTATTATGTCAGTAAAATAAAACATATGGAAATAAATTCTGAAAAAGATGGGGGAAATATTTGGGCGTCACGTTTTATTATGCACAACTAGAGTCAATGAATAGAATCTGCCACAGTGCTTTCCTTTTGTACGTGGGAGAGTCAAATTGTCATAATAAATATTAGCACGGCTAACAGTTGCTGACATCTTAGGGACAGAGATAAATTTGTCCTTGTCTCACCTCCCTTAGTCTCCCATTCCTTCATGATAATTCCCAGGGGATGCAGAGCATCACATCTCACTCAACTTTGTTACGTAGTCTGAGATACCAAAAGAAGCTTCTAAGGGTCTCCTAAGTCAATAGAAGCAAACACGACTCCTGGTGACTTGGTGTCCAGCTATTATGTCAGTAGCAAAAGCACCACTTATTTTCAGCTACTGATTCACCTGGCAGAGTAGTGCCCAAGCACTGTGGCCCTGTACAGTGACAGGAGCTTTGCTTCTCCTTCTCCACAGCCTCCTGTGCAGGTAGCACCATGCCAGGTATTATGAAAAAAGAAAGAGAGGGCTTCCAAAGAATTGGAAGATGTGGCCCCTGAGAGAGTTAAAATGCAATTGAGAGACAGAACATGCACCCATAAAATAATTATAGGATAACCAGAAATTGTGTTATTTATAATCTCACTGAATTCTAAGGAGAGAGGATGTTGAGAACAGTTGAGTGCAATAAAATATTTACTCTTATAATAATGACCTTTGACAAATGTAGCATTAAGTAGTGGGTAGGAGCAGTTAAAGGAGAACAGTAGTGCTTTGTGAGAAGGGGAGATGGGAAAGCAGCAGGACAGATGCAGGGAGAGAGGCTAGAGCCAGCAAGGCTGGGTGCATCAGAAAGGAGCACTTGAGGAGAAGGGACCTCTTGCCTCCAGGGTAAGAGAGACAGGAAATAAGGGAAATAGAGAGGATGGGCTGGTGGGACTGAAGAAATCTCTTTGAATGTGCAATGTAAAACCCACCTCCTTCTCTGCTATGTGACTGTTGGTATAATTTTCATTTCTCAAAAATGCTTGGTGGAGTAGGTTTTCTTTGGAGGAATTACAAAGACTTTATGCTAGTCATACAGATTTGTTCTCTAGTCTACAATGACTTATAAGACAGCAATAAGTTAACAAATGCTCAAATTCCACCTGCCCATTAAGGCCCCATTCAAATTACAACCCAACCCAATAATATGCAGCTTACACTAGGTTCTCTTTCCTCTGAGTAACTGTATTGTTTCATTTATACCTCTTTTTGTGGTTCTCATCTCTACTACCTCGGCACACAGGTGTGTTTAATCTTTCGTTCTAAGCTATACATTTATTGAAGACATGATGTGTCTGAGGCATCTTTGTAACTTCACCTTCACTAATATAGGGCTTGAATGTTGTAAATATTTGCTGAATGACCAAGTAAACTTATGAATATTGAAATAATATACTGTACATGACCTACATAAATACTGAAGGAACTTTGGGTACATATGTGAACAGACTGGAAAAGCATTTAGGCAGAAGTAACTTTTGAGCTGGTTCATAAATAAAATGGTGGCCTCGGATCAGTGTGGCACATGGCCAGTGTTCTAGGAAAGAAAAATGGTCTCGCTGGAAAAAGCACTGAGTACCATGATATAAGAATGTAGCTCTGTATTTATATAAAAAAAAACTCCACTCTTCTATCGTGGACAGAAAAAGAACTGAGCTGTACTCTTGGTTGAAACAGGATACTGTGTGATGAGGATAGGGAATATAAATGTCACTACTTTGTACTAAGAAACAATTACACGCACATACACACACATATGTAATATTTTTAGGACAGAAGTAAAACATATACTGAAAATGTGGGTCACAAACATTATTATGCAATTCTAAGAATATTGTAGAATATCCTTTCAAAACCACACAGCAATTCACTTCTCATGGATTTCTCTTTACTCCATGAGTAGCTGGGGGCATTTAAAGCAGCAAAATCAAGACCTATGCAGGGTAAACAAATTATTTCCTGGATCAGACTAGTTCATTAGAAAGCCACTCATCTGTACAGTCGACAAATACTTATTGAATCTCCAATGCATATAAGGCACTGTGCTAAGCCATTTGGGAAATGCATACGAGCATAAGACAAGAAGATCTCTGTCCTCACAGAAATTACAGTTTATTTGGAAGATCAGAATTGTATGCAGATATAACAAATAAAAAGTTTATATAATGTCTGTTACATGTGAATCTAAGTAAACCACTTTGAAAGGATTCAGAAAAGGGTCTAATAATTACTCTGTTTAAGCACTTCATGGAAGAGGCAGCATTTGGTTTAGGATTTGAAGGAGGGTAGAGATTTCAAAGGGGCACTCCAGATCAGTGCCAAGACTTTAGTAAAAATATACAGCAGTGCAGAAGCTTTTTAGCTTAGTATAATCCTGTTTGTTTATTTTTGCTTTTGTTGTCTGGGCTTTAGAGGTCCTATCCAAAAAATCCTTGCCCAGACCAATGAAGTATTATCCCTGTGTTTTCTTCTAGTATTTTTATAGTTCATGATCTTACATTTAAGTCTTTAAACCATTTTTAGTTGATTTTGTGTAAGGAGAGAGATAAGGGTCTAGTTTCATTCTTCTCCATGTGGATATACAGTTTTCCCAGCACCATTTATTAAAGAAACTTGTCTTTCCCCCAGTGTGTGTCCTTGGTACCTTTGTCAAAAATTGATTGGCTGTAAATGCATGGATTTCTAGACTCTCTATTCATGGTCTATGTGTCGAGGTACCTTTGTCAAAAATTGATTGGCTGTAAATGCATGGATTTCTAGACTCTCTATTCATGGTCTATGTGTCATTTTTTTGCCAATACCAGGTTGTTTTGGTTACCGTAGCTTTGTAGTATATTTTGAAGTCAGGTAGTGTAATGCCTGATGCCTTCAGCTTTGCTCATTTTATTCAAGATTACTTTGGTTATTTGGAGTCTGTTGTGTGCCATACAAATATTAGAATTGTTTGTTCTATTTCTGTGAAGAATGTCATTGGTGTTTTGGTAGGGATTAGGAAACAATCAACAAAGCAAAGAGAACCTACAGGATGAGAGAAAGTATTTGTAAACTATGCATCTGACAAGGGGTTAATACCCAGGGTATGTAAGGAACTCAACAGCAAATAAATAAACAAATAATCCAATTAAAAATAGGCAAAATATCTGAATAGTCATTTTTCAAAAGAAGACATACAGTCAGCAGGTATATAACAAAATGCTCAACATCACTAATTACCAGGGAAATTCAAATCAAAACCACAGTGAGATGTTACCTCTCCCGTTAAAATGGTTGTTATCAAAAAGGTAAAAAAATATATATACAAATGTGGCCGGGCACGGTGGCTCACGCCTGTAATCCCCCCCACTTTGGGAGGCTGAGGCAAGCGGATCACGAGGTCAGGAGATCGAGACCATCCTGGCTAACACGGTGAAACCCCGTCTCTACTAAAAATGCAAAAAATTAGCTGGGTGTGATGGCGGGCGCCTGTAGTCCCAGCTACTCGGGAGGCTGAGGCAGGAGAATGGCGTGAACCCGGGAGGCGGAGCTTGCAGTGAGCTGAGATCGCGCCACTGCACTCCAGCCTGGGTGACAGAGACTCCGTCTCAAAAAAAAAAAAAAAAAAAAAATATATATATATATATATATATATACACACACACACACAACACACACACACGTATATGTGTGTATATATGTGTATATATGTATATATATGTGTATATATGTATATATGTATATATATGTATGTATATATGTATATATGTGTATATATATACACACACACACACACACACACAAATGCTGGCGAAGATGAAGAGAAAATGGAGCTTTTATACACTGTTGGTAGGAATGTAAAGTAGTACAGTTATTACAGAAGACAGTATGGAGATTCCTCAAAAATTGAAAATAGAACTACCATATGACCTAGCAATTCTACTGCTGGGTGTATATTCAAAAGAATTGAAATTAGTTAAGTCAAAAAGATAACTGCACTCCCATTTATTGTAGCATTATGAATAATAGCCAAGAGATAGAATCAATCTAAGTGTCCACTAACAGATGAATGAATAAAGAAAATGTATAGATACACAATGAAATATTATTCTGCTAAAAATAGAAGAAAATCTTGTCATTTGCAGCAACATGGATGAACCTGGAGGATATAATGTAAATGAAATAAACCAGGTACAGAAAGACAAATATGCATGATCTCACTCATATGTGAAATCTAATAAAGTTGATCTCACAGAAGTAGTGAATACAGTAGTGGTTACCAGAGGCTGGGAAGGGAAGGAAGGAGGGGAAGATGGATAGAGATTGGCCAATGAGTACAAAGTTACAGTTAATTAGGAAGAATGAATTTGGGTATTCTATTGCACAGTAGGGTAGCTACAGCTAATAAC
The DNA here is from genome assembly GCF_000001405.40 of Homo sapiens. Taxonomy (NCBI): domain Eukaryota; kingdom Metazoa; phylum Chordata; class Mammalia; order Primates; family Hominidae; genus Homo; species Homo sapiens. The sequence continues at coordinate 149,705,223 of NC_000002.12, read as the reverse complement.
AACGTATTGTATATTTCAATATAGATCTTGAAAGCTATCACCACAAAGAAATGATAAAGATTTAAGGTGATTGACATGCCAACTACCCTGATTTGATCAGTATATGATGTATACATATATTGAAACCTCACACTGTATCCCATAAACATGTACAAATATTATGTGTTAGTTATAACAAAAAAATAAATAAAGCAAAATAATTTAAAAGATTAAAAACAAAAAAATACACAGTGGCATATAGTTTTTTTTTTTTTTCTGATGCACCACCTATTCCAAATTCCAGATTCACTGAAATGGAAGGTAAAAATGAAGACCAGAAAACAAAACAAAAAAAGAACAGTGGTTTGGGTCTAGATTGCATAAGGGATTTCTCTGCTAGTCTCAAGGCCTGTTTAATGCACAAAACTTTTCCAATAGCTCAGGCAGTAATAGAGATTTTCCTATGACTAGAATTTACCTGCATTATTGAAAACAGCTGTTTGGTTTCTCTTGGGTAACTTCCCAATTTATTACCTTGCAGTATGGATTGTTTTCAGTTTTAAAAAATCCAAAGCCACACAAAATTATGTATTATGATATATTCCTTGAAGATTTTGATATTATCTTTTAGATATTTAAAAGCAATGAAATTCCATTTAGCTACATCAAGTTAATTTATTCTGTAAATAGTTAGCATAATCCTATAGCATTTACAGCAGAAAAAACAGAACCTCTGAAGTTGATAAATGAAGGCTAGAGTATCAGCCATAATTTACATCTGCAGGTTGTAACCACAGTAATGAAGCCCTTTAGGATTATTAAAATGCATTTTGTATAGTGTATTTATTACTTGGCATTTCTTATTTATGGTCCACAGAAAGATGAAGCTAAGTGAAATAAAACACAAACTAAACTTTTGCTAGAATAATGAGGTTCTATTCCCTGTCTTAGTCAAATACATTTTTATTAGGTTTTAAGTGGTTGTGTTGGTTTGATTCTTGGGAGTAATGCTTTTCACTTTACCTATCTTGGACACTTCTTAAGCAAACTAATTTAGCATAAAGAAAACATTGTATGCAGACCTTGGAGTCAAACTATGTTATTTAAAACACCTGATGGGAAAAGTTTTATTTGCTATGAAATCACAAACAGCAAATGATTTCAAGCTTTTCTGATAGAATTATTATTGACCACACTAGGGCTAGCTGGTTTATTGGTCTGGCATTATCTTAATAATTAAGAACTCCCCTAAGTCAGAATGATGCTTCAGAGAAAAGAAACATGATCCTTCCAGCCACATCACTAAATTATTACCATTTCCCTCCCAAAGGATAGCAGAATCCCCATTATAATTTTTCTACTCAACCCCGTCTCTACTAAAACTACAAAAAAATTAGCCAGATGTGGTGGTTGGTGCCTGTAGTTCCAGCTACTCGGGAAGCTGAGGCAGGAGAATGGCGTGAACCCAGGAGGCAGAGCTTGCAGTGAGCCGAGATCGCGCCACTGCACTCCAGCCTGGGCGACAGAGCGAGACTCTATCTCGAAACAAAAAAAAGAAATTTCTACTCTCAGAAACATTTTCTCCCTGAAAGTTGAAAGATATATAGGATGTGCCCTCTTTAAAGTGCTTCATCTACTGATGGCATGGCCTTATTGAGGAAAACAAAAGTATGATTCTCCATGTACAACCTCTGACTAAATCATTTCCTCTCTATCATGTTTCCTCAAGCCTCACCACCTTGGAATGGAAGAGAAACAAAGGGAAAGCTTTATTCAGCTAATTTAGTTATTTCTCTTACTGATAAGACCTCAGAATGTGCAAAACTTCCCCACCTCCATGTCAATTCCTGGCTCTTTCAGAAAATTCCTTGGAATGCTTGCTTGGAAAAGTCATGTCCCTCATGGCGTGGTTGCTCTGATGCTTTGTGGTCCGAGTGGCTTCACTGTGCCATCATCACATCCACAGAATTGGAGAGCACTTTGGAGTCTGCCTGTCAAGACCCTCACTCCAGAACTGTGACCACGGGCACAAGTTTAAACTTTTCTGTGCCTCAGATTTCCCATCTGATAAATGGGTACAAATATAACAACTACTTCAATGTTTGTCATGATAATTATATAAGATGACTCATACAGAGCTGTAATAAATGTGAGTTATTAATCTCGTTGTCTTACATGGTCCCTGCTTCCCATGCAGGCATTAGCCCCAAGCTAAGTCAGGGAGAAATCCACTTAATTGACAAGATAACTCTACTCAAAATTTCCCTTCCCTAGTGGCCACCAGCTTTGGACCCAACTTGTGTTCCATGAATTCCCCATCTTTCTTTTTTCCAACAGGAGGGTAAATTCTTTCTGTTTGCTAAGAGAACCCTGGGACACCGTCCTGCCAACTTTTGAAGCCTGCTTACTTGGCTCAGGCTCCCACACTGCAAGAACTCCACCATGCTGCACGGAAACCATCCCTACTTCAGGAAAGAATTCTGAGCAATGAAGTGTCCGGTCCAAGAATGGGACTCACAAAGGTGGCAGAGCACTGCAAGTGGCTCAGTGCCTGCATTCTCCAGGCAGGTGGTGGCTCGCTACTGCCACTTAGCAGCAGGAATCTTGAGCAAGCTACTTAACCTCCCTGGGCCTCAGTTTCTCCATCTCCAAATGTGGAAAATGATGACAGTTATACCAATCTCATAGGGTTGTCATGACTACAAGAGAGGTTAATAAGTCTGTGTGCTTATGACAGTACCCAGCAAGTCTTTCTAGAGCTCAAAATGAAATGTTAGCTCTGATTCACTGTTGTCTTTCTCATAAAACACAATCCCAAATACATAAGCTTAGAAGTTAGGTCTGGGTTTGAATCCCAGGAATCCCACTTCCCAACTCTGTCATTTTAAGTGATGAAGATGATGATAACTATCATTTATTGAATTACTTACCAGACACTTTATTTATATTATGTATATGTTTCATGTATATTATCTAATTTGTATTTCACAACCATCCTGTAATGTAAGTATTGTTAATACACCCATTCTACAGACGAGGCAACTAAGATTTAGAAGTGTTTGCAATCATCAAACGGTACAGAGTGGGCGGGTGGCAAAATCAGGATTCTTTCCCCGTGTCCTTAACCACTAGAACAAACACCCTCCCCACATTACATATTATCCAACTTGTGAGGTTAGGAGAAACAAAAAGAACCCAAGTGGTCAAGAAATGTAGCTATTATAATTAAAGTGCAAACCATACTGCACTTCGTGAGATGCCTACTGTTCATGAGAAGTCACTGTTGTGAGCATGAGAAGCACGGAATTAAAATGTTAAAGCATATCGCAGGAGTCAAGGAGGGAATATTCGTACCATGGTCAGTTCTTTACAGACTGCACTAGGCCGGGCCTAAAGTGGCTTGGTCTCCACATGCTAATCAAAAGATCTTAAGGACAGCTAAGCTCATACCCCTAAAAAAATAAAAAATAAAAAAAAATTAAAAAAGTGCATCCAAGGGCCCTGTAAACATGATACAAAATGTCTTTTTCACACTCTGAATTGTTTGCTGACACCACTCTCAAGGAAATGGAATGCAGACTCTACGGCCTGGGAAATACTTCCCCTCCCTGGAACATATTTCCTTTGCCCTGTTTTCAACACTGCTAACAGGCTTTAGTTGCCCTAAGATGTGAGGAGGCAACATAAGGGGGCTTCATGGTGGGCTGAGCAGCAATGAAGCAAAATTCTGGGCAAAACATGCCCTGCGTGCGGAATGAATGCTCTATAGTTCTGAAATTTCTTGCCTGAGGGGAAATAATGAAATAACTCCAGTTCTCCTCTTTTATACAAGAATAGTTCCATGGTGCCAATGGGCATTTATGAGCAACAATTTAGTTTCACTGCAAGGGTGTGGACCATAAATAAATGGGATTTTTGAGGCCTTATAAAAATAGGAAAGTGGAAAGAAAATCAAACAGTAAATGGAAAATGAGAAAGGGAAGAGAGAGGGTGGAGACAAGACTGGCGAGAGAGAACGGTGTTTAAAGGGAAGCTTGCTTAAGCTCTGCCTGTGACTTGACAATCACATCTCCCCATGAAAACTGTAGTAATATTTGCATACCTGCCATGATTTTTGGTATGAGCTTTTTATTTTAAGAAGAATGGAGCACAGGGAGAGTTCTGTGACCAACCTCAATTCAGCCAACTGCCTGCCCAAGGCTACAAGGCAGCTCAGCAGTTTTGAGTAGCTGAAGGTCCCCTGGCTGAATGCTTCCATAAAAAGAGAGAAAGAAAGTGACTTCCAAGGTATTCCCAGCATTGTGAATTGATCTGTACAGCTGGCAGATTCTTTCTGGTAGATATCTTGTTCCAGGTTACTGTATGGTACAAAGAAAGCAAGTCTCAGACCATATTCAGCAATCCTTCCAAACAGTTATTACCAAGTGTCTACAGAAACCATTGTAAAACCTATTTTTGGAAGATTGATCTTGTCCCACCTCTGGCCCATTAGACTATTAAGAGAGGGCTTTGCATGAAAAAGCCACTCCAGACTAGTAAGGCAATATCACAGAAGCTGGATTCAACTGAGCTTCTATTTTCATCAGATTTGGATCAGAAATTCTCAACAGCAGAAGGCACAGAGAAGAACTGGAGGACCCGAGTGCCTCTAAGTCTGCATTGAGGGTAAATGTGCCAGAGGCCTCTCACATGTCTCACAGTATACCAATCCACATATCTAGTACAGAATCTGTTTATCTGTTTCACCAATGAAATAGAATTTCTACGGTGCTATATTAATTGAAAACACTCTAATGTGAATTGAGATAGTGGTAGTTGAAGGCTTGTAGCCAACGCCTTCAGAAAGTGAAATTCTGACTACAGTTTTTCACATGCTAACTAAGCATCCCTGGTGGCATGTACTCTGAATTAGGATATTTTACATGTTAACTAGGCATGGATTAAAACCAATTTACGCTCATTCACACATGGTATCCATGGTATCGTCTATGCTGAAGTATTTTAAAGATAAACGACAGCCACTGTAATAATCCATTGCCTTTGGTTGTACAACTGTCAAGTAGTCCAAGCTGGGACAGGAGTTTGGGATTGACCAAAAGCTTACATTACTATGATTACAAGGAGTTTATAGTCCAGTGAGAGAAATGGGCCTGTATACAGGGAAAATGAATGAGAGAAAGAAGTCTTAAATTTGCGAAGAGTAAAATTGATAATTGTGTTGCTTTAAAATTGCACCCTACTTTTTCAGTGAATAAGATAATTGACTCTTCATCTAGAGAAGAAAAAAATTCTGATTCTTCTTCACATGATTTCCTAAAGTAAATTGCAGATGACTGGCAACAGGCATGAAAACCTCAAATGTACAAAGTCCATAATCCAGCATTTTCCCTTTTAGATATTTGCTTTAATTAGGTAATTGCATATATGAAATATATCCACGCACAAAAGATTCACAAGGATGCTTCACCACATCAGTATATTAGCAACAAATGGGAAAAAGCTGAAAGTCATCAATAGGGAATTGACTAAACCAATTAGAGTAATTCACAGCTAAGCATCCATCAGACATATTGATGTGTCTCACTATTGTCATGGAAATAAGACCACAATATGTGAAGTTTTTATTCAGGTCACTGGAGAATAAAACAATATTTTTTTGATCATCTGAATATATATATATATAAAATTGTAAGCATGTGTGCAAATGTTAAGAGTGATTTTCTCTGAATGATGGGATTCACAATTTTTTTTTTTTTGAGACAGAGTCTCACTGTGTTGCCCAGGTGGGAGTGCAGTGCATGATCTTGGCTCACTGCAGTCTCCACCTCCTGGGTTCAAGAGATTCTCCTGCCTCAGCCTCCCAAGTAGGTGGGATTACAGGCATGTACCACCACACCTGGCTAATTTTTGTATTTTTAGTAGAGATTGGTTTTCTCTATGTTGACCAGGCTGGTCTCGAACTCTTAGCCACAAGTCATCTACCCACCTCAGCCTCACAAAGTGCTGGGATTACAGGCATGTGCCGTTGTGCCCGGCCTGGTATTCACAATTAATTTTGCCTTCCTTTGTGGACTTTCATAAATTGTTTGAATGTTTATGATGAGCATCTATATTTCTACAAGAGTCATTAAGCTTCTAAATAATCTATATTACAGCATGGCTCTTGATATGGCTTATATTTAGGGCTTATACTCTTTTAAACATAAATCGGCTTGTGCCACTCACCTGCTCCAGATATTGTAATGGCCTCCAACTGAATTTGCAATAAAACCCAAACCTTTAATATGGTCTAGACTATGACTGTGTTTGCAGATTTATCCTTTGTCATTCAACCCCCGGGCCCCTCCAATTCACTATGCTTCAGCCACTCCTGCCTGGCTGCTTCTGTATCCCTTCAGCCTTTTAAACTTGCTTTCCATCCCAGAGTAATAGCACTTAATGTTTCCTCAACTGAGAAGACATTCTGCCTGCTCTTCATCCACCCAAGGCTTCCTTATAATCCAACATCAAATGCAATGTCAGTTCCTCAAACAGGCCTTCCCTGACTCATGATCCAAATTAAGTCTCTATTACACTCTCTCCTAAAACCGATCACTTTTCCACCTTAGCTTCTATCACCAGGCATGACTATGTATTGGCTAATGTGTTTCTTTACAGTCAGATTTCCCACTGGACCATTAGCTCTGGGTTGGGGGTGGCCACTACAACCCAGGACCTGCTCAGGGTCTGCCACTGGTAGGGATTCAATATATCTCTGCTGAGTAAATGAATAGAAACCAAACAGGGCCAATGGAAGAGGTGATATTACAAAAAAAAAAAAAACAAACAAAAAAACACCACCACCACCTAGCATATTTGGAGAACTTTATCATACTTTTACCACCTTTGTTTCACTCATTCCTAATAAAATTCTGTGCAGTAAGTTATTATCTATGGTTTATGGAAAGTTTTATTCAATTGAAAAGAAATAAAAATAAGTACATTTTCTAAAACATACAATTAATAAAAATGTTGATGCAATTCTCAAAACCAGGCCTTCAGCTCTAAAGCCAGAGTCCACTGCACTGCTTCCTTCAAGGGGCTGGCTGAAAATGGACACCTTCCTGAGTCTGAGGAAACTCAGTGCCCGATGGAAGAGCAGGTTTCATGTGCGGACTCACCTTCAGGGTTTATGACAGAGGTTCCTTGGTCCACTTCAGGAGCCTCCGTGACCTTTCTGACTAGATTTTCTGTTGACTAAACCAGCAAGCAGAAAACCTAAATATTGAGCAATTTGAAAAAAAGCTCTATAGATTATTGTAAATGTTTTTAACTTACATACAAAAGTTTATAATTCAAAAGACTTGGCCATCACCTGACAGCCAATGGATATCAATAAATATAAAAATTAAATTTTCCACTTTTGGGCTTTAGCTACCAGAAATCACACACACACACACACACACACACACACACACGTGCACATGCATACATGCACATATACATATGCACAAACACACATTACATACACACACACATCATAGACCATATCAGATTTTTGTTTACATAATATCTTCTACAGACCCACAAATAATACATCTAGTAGGAATAGTGATAGCAAACAATTTTACAAAGTCATCTAAGTAACAAAACTTTTTAACAAATTTTAAAATCATATAACATGTGCTTCAAAAAAAAAAAAAAGAAAGAAAACATTCAAGAAACCAGAGAGGAATTAATTATGCTGAAGGAAAAGTTAAGAAAACAAATCAAAAAAAACAAAACCTGCATTGCCGTCTCCATTTTCCCCCCTTTAACGTCCCAATTGGTGATGATGATGATAACCTATAATCTGAGCAAAAATCACAACTTTAGGGCCCCAGAAATACTGGACAAACATAGATTTTAACAGTCTTGTTTAAACAAAAACAGCAACCATATTTATACCAAATAAAATTTAGTCTCTTCACACTCAGAAAGATTTTATTCTGAATTTTACTTTAGATTTTAGAAAGGCTCTTCTTCACAAAAAGAAAATAAAAAAATCCCTTGCAACAAAAAAATTCCAATGGAAAACGTTTATCATTTAATTTTTGACAGAAGTAGTTGCAAGTTGACAACCATTATATTATTCCAATATGAAGCCATTTACCACGTGATTGATTTTTCCCAAAATACCTAAGAAACATCCAAGGAATTTAAACTTTTTATTGGAAACATCTTTTAAACATCCCAGGTACTAGAATTCCCATTTCCCTCACTTAAATATAGTGTGTGTGTCTGTGCGTGTGTATGTGCCTATAAATGTAATAAAAGTAAGCTGCAACTCTCGAAGCTACAGAAAAAAGTTATTTCTCTGGAGATGAGATGTAGCCCAAAAATGTTTCAATTAATACCAGACATAGTCTTATCACCTTTAATATTCCACAGATAGTCTATCTCATTCCTTACAGATGGGCATCTTTTCATAAATGATAATTCCCATATGTCAAAGAGACAAAGCTCATGATGAAATGTTAATAGTTAAGCTATAGTTTCATTCATTTCTGGCTTTTCTGAAAAAGGGGAGTTCACCACCATCTTAAGGTCATTTTTGCAGAGGGCTTCTTTTTTCTAAGGTTTGCTTATTTTGTTTGAATTCAGTGTCAGCTGTGAACATCAGCAAAGTTTGAGGTCACTGAATTCTTCATATTTAAGATTTTTTTATTCTATGGTGATTCCAATTGTACACAGCAAGGATCAAAGGCCCTTGGGATTATTTTTCTTCTTAAAGGATTATTGTAAATTTAGTTTCTCATTTGGTCCCAGAGAGAAGATTCTCTAGCAATCTTCGTAGATTCCAATTTTGCCTCCAGGCTGCTGGGACCTCAAGAGAGAATCGATTAATTTTGAACTCAACATCACAGCTGCCCCCACCCCCATTCCAAGCCCCTCCACCCTGGGGAGACTGGACACATTCAGAAAGAGTCTATGAGAAAAGGCAATCTTTCCCTTATTATATAGTTACCTGGGGATGTCTCCTCATATCTGGGTACCTCCAAAAATAAAAGGCACCAGACAACCAAACTGCTAACCCATTCCCAAACTTGTATACCTAACTGGACTAATACAACCTTCCCTGTTCTAATAGTGAAATCAGACAGTAGAGTTATGGGCTGTGGAAAAATGCCCTTGAATCCCTTCTCACGCTGGGGCATTCCTTGAGAAAACCTCACCTAAAGCAGTTGTGGCGGGTTGTGTCTAGGGTGGACGCAGTCATGTGAGGCTTCTTAGCACCTGTGCTAGGGTAGGAAGCTGACTGGCCCGTTCCCAGACAGGCTTTGTTCTGCCAGAATCACCAGTAGGCTGTCCCAGCAGTTTGAGTTATTCACCTCTTAAGGTTGTTTTGTGCAAGAAGAGGCCCAAGTTACAGAATAGAACATTTTTTATATGTTCACAGTAAGAGTTATAAAGGGATTAAAATAAAAGGATTTTCATTTAAAAATACTTATCAAAGGGTATAAAATGACACAACTGGCTCAAACTCAACTCCAAGTAAAGACAACCCTCCATTTCCACTAATAATCCCTAGGGAATGACAATCATCTACTACATACTCTGAAAATGACTGAGTCTGGAGAAATGGAAGAAATGGTAATAGAGAAATACAAAATTAATTAAATAACTGAGAAATTATGATGAGAAGTGACAAAGATATTTAAAGGGAAATCGAGAGAACATTCTTCATGTGGCATTGTACTACCCAGAACTACCACAAAAGTGCATCTGGATAGTTTGAAATCATACATTAATTAGCATATGTCTCTGCCATTAAACTGTTAGCTTGATGAATTCAGGAACTATGACCATCTGGCTCACACTGGAGCAGTGCCTAGCACAGTGGCACACAGCAGGCACTCAGTAAATATTTGATGAATAAATAAATGAATGAACCTATGGTACAGACTTCATATTCATAACAATAAGCACTGTAAAACCTAAATATTAAATATATCTTATATTGTCTTTAATATCAAGTTCCTTTCACTCGTTTATATTTATTTGAAAATTACTGCATATTGTGGCAGAGAGTATTTTCTTCTGGTCCCACTGTCAGACTACATTCCTACCTCTTTTGAAATTAGAGAAAATCATCGAACTGAGTTCCAGGCCATGCAATGTAAGTAGAAGTGAAGTGCATCACCTCCAGGGCACAGCAGTTAAGAGTGAATATGCCTTCTCCACATTCCATCACTCTCCCCATGTGTGCAGCTGAATGCAGAGGAAGACGAGCACCTAGCAAATGGTGGAGCCACAAAAGGGAACGACCCTGGGTCCTTGAGTGACCACATGGAGCAGAGCTCTACACTGATTCATATAGAACTATGAAACAAAAGAAAAATAAACTTCTTTTATGTTAAGCCATTTAAAGGTTGGGGCTATTTATTATAGCCATTAGCCTATATTAACTTAATGCTTGTGGATCTGGAAGAAAAAGCTATTGTGGACACATTCTCTCAAATATTCTAAAAAACACATTTAATGTACTTAAATATAAAAGCAGAGAATATTAGTAATCTTAGAAATGATTAAACCCAAGTATCTCCACTTTCTCCTACTCCAGCCTCATTTCACTTTCACAGATCAAGTAATGGGAATGACATATTGTGGGAAAATGGAAGACTGAATTACATGGCAACCTCAAATTTTCTCATGATGGATTTTATACTATTGGGTTCTTCTAAGGCAAAATAGAATTCCTTTGCCTGAAAGTTTCTATCATGCTACTTCACTCATACACCTTCCTTCACCTCTATATTTAGCTATGGAAATAATTATTTTTTTCTTTCAGAGTTTATCCCATAATAGCAGATGTTTAATCAGCCCAAGTTGAATTTATGGCTCATGTGTCACTCTCAAATTCTAAGCACCACGCAAAATGGTTAAATTGGTTCCTTGAAATTGTGCTTACTCCAAAACCTTTCTTAATTTCCTCTAGCCATGAAATAACATCTCCATGGACTAAGTGAGCCAAGAAATAAAAATTCTATAGTTACATAATTACAGAGATTAAATAAGAATTACTCTAACATTGCACAAATTATTACTTATTTTCTGTTTTTCCATTATTACAGGTTGATGATGTAAGAAAGACAATTAACATAAGCCCAGATTTTGCAAACTGGGTTAGCAAACTTTACAAAATGCAAAAGATTTAGTTTGGCTCAGGCACTGACACATCCAATGTTCCCTTAGCTTCTTGGCACCAGTCTCCTTAAAAGATCACCTTTCTCTCCATCCCTACAGAAAACCAGATCCATAGTTCAGAAGTTATAAGCATCACAAAGCCTCATGTAATGAATTGTCTACCATACACAATATTTTGAGGGAATAAAAAAGGAAAAATAGAGTTATTTAGATTTTGGTCTATAGATTGATTTAATGAAATATAATCATCTAAATGCATTTTATTCTAGTCGTATGGCCAAGCGTACATAATCACAGGAGTTTTATGCCATAGTTTGGAAGATATCCTTAAATCTTAAACAAAGGATTGACTAGTCATGGACCCATTCTGTTAATGAAGTGATTATTATGGCTTAAAAGTATACTTGCGACTTTTAAAAACCTGAAAGACAAATTTAAAGCTGAAAAGCAAATAGAGTTGACATAAGTGTCAAAATAAACAGTCAATTCAGAAATATAACTCAATGTCAGACTATCTTAGCTATTCTTATGTTTTGCTGATAATTCAATAGGACCAAATTCTTACCATTTTTGGAAAAATAAAATATTACTTGATAGACTAGCAAAATATGTTTTTTCCCTAAATAAACCTTCCTATTTCAATCTCCATACACAGTGTACACTGCTTCAGACCAGTGACCTTAAAAAGAAGCAACATCTGCCTAGCTTTCCATGGCTGCTCCATTTCATGAATAAATCACTCCAAGAATGCCATGAATATGTAGAAAATTCCTGGCATGTGACTTACCATATGAACTTTTTAAGCTTTGGGAAGGCTGGGCCTAGAAGGCATTTAAAATGCCCTGAGAATATTATTCAATTTGCTGTTGCCTAGAATTCATTCAAAATTGGATCTTTATTTAGACACCATGGAAACTATGGTTAGTGGAAACTGTACATAGATATTGCCATTTCCCCTGAAAGTACAAACCATCCTCACCCTAATCCCTGCAAACTGACACTCATCTCGAAAATGTTCACAGGGCTAAACTCCATAGCCACTTACGTCAGATGTTGGTTCCCGCAGAACAAGAATCCCTCAGTGTGAGAGAGGGTTGCATTCTTACCATGGTGGGCTGGTTTTATGTGAAGTACCAGAAAGTCAAAGAAATTCCTAGACTGTGGAAACTCCTCCACTCTTGAAATGTGATTGCTTATTAGTTTGAAGTTGTTTTTCCTAAAAACTTAACAGGGACCTAGCTATTCAGCCAGTGCTTATGTTATTTATATCACACAGACTGTGAGGGAGAAAATGTTTTTTCTCCTACAGCAAAGCTCTGTGCATGCTGGTACCTGAGGGGCCTCCAGGAGTTACACAGTGAAGAGCTGCCCTGAGTCCCTGCCCACCATGCCAGCACCCATGTTGGTCACATCCCATAGCCAGAACTACTCCATGACTTCTACAGCTTCCCAGACCCAGCCTGTTCCAAGGAAGGGGGCCTTGAGCAGCTCCAGCTCCACATTCCACCTTCCTGTTCACAGCATGGCAATCCCCTTGTTTAAAATACATGATCTAAAGAGATGCTCATGACGTGTTAAAGTGAACAACACATATCACAAGACAATTTCTACAATATAACCCTATATTTGGAAAGCAGATATATTAGTCTGCTAGGGCTACCTTAACAAGGTACCACAAATGGAGTGGTTTAACAACAGAAATGCATTGTCTCATAGTTCTGGAGGCTATAAATCCAAGACCAAGGTGTCAGCAGGGTTTGTTCCTTCTAACGACTGTGAAAGAGGATCTGTTCCATGCCTCTTGCCTGGCTTCTGGAGGTCTGCTGGCAAGCTTGGCATTCCTTGGTTTACAGAAGTATCACCCTAATCTCTGCCTTCACCTTCACAGAGCAGTCTCTCTGAGTGTACATCTCTGTGTCCTAATTTCCTCTTTATATAATGATACAACCATATTGAATTAGCGCCCAGCCTAGTGACCTCATCTTAACTAATTACATCTACAATTCTATTTCCAAATAAGCTTACATTCTGTGGTACTGAGGGCTAAGACTTCAACATATGAATTTTGGAAGGATATAATACAATCTACTACAGCAAAAAAAGAAAAAGGTCTTTGTACTTGTATACAGTTATATTTACATCGAGAAAGGGGTAGAAGTATACACAGGATGCACAAACTGTTAACTTTCATTGCATGGGCATGTGATTAGCTAAGGTTGAGGAGTACTTGTTACATATTTGATTACACATTTGAGTTGCATTAATTGTTACAATGAATAGCTATTAAGTGTAATGAAAACTTAAATAAAATATATTGCTGGGAAGCAGAACATTTCCTAAATTATTGAATTTCTTCTCTTCTTCTTAATCCATTTCTGTATAACTTAAAATAATGATTATTTTCAAGAGCCTAAAATGCAGAAGCCACACACTAATGAAAATGGAAAAAAAAAGGCAAGTAACAAAACCCATTGGAGGAAAAGTAGAAACAAAAGCTAAATATAACACATATGGAAATGATATCTCTAATCACAGATTAGGTAAGTATGAAAATTATTGGTTTGAAGGGAAAGGAAAGGAAAAGTTGAAATAAAGAAAAGGCATTCATGCATGAAAAGAGAAGTCAGCTATAAAGATTGCTGCATGGAAACAAAGATCTGTCAAAATGTTGGATGCTCTGGGGATAAAAAATGAAATAGAAAAGGAGTACTCCAAGATGAAATAGTAAAAGGTCTCATCGTAAAGTGCTTCCCTTAAGGTGAAAAGATCAGTGTGAAGGCAGAGTAATGCCCCTTCCCCAAAGATGTTCCTGCCCTACTGGACATCTTCCATGGCAAAGGGACTTGTGGCTGTAACTAAGAATACAAACTTTGGAATGGAGAGACTGTCTTGGATTATTTGGATGGATCCAGTCCAATCTCATCAGTCCTCAAAAGCGGAGAACTTTTCTAGGCTGAGTTAGGAGGCAAGACAGAAGAAAGAGAGATTGGAAGCAAAAGAATTCAACCCATGGTGCTGGCTTTGAAGATGAAGCAAGGGATGAAAGATCCAAGGAATGCTGGTGGCTCCTCAAAGCTGAGAAAGGCCCTCAGCTGACAGCACACAAGGACAAAGGGATTTTCTTTCCACAACCACAAGAAAATGAATGCTGCCAACAACCCAAATAACTGGGAAACAGATCCTTCTCCAGAATCTCCATAAAGGAACACAGGCTCTATCAACACCATGGTCATAGCCTTCTGAGACCCGTATTCTATTTATTTTTCATTTTTTATTTTTTGAAACGGAGTCTTGCTCTGTCACCCAGGCTGAAGTGCCGTGGCATATTCTCAGCTCACGACAAACCTCTGCCTCCCGGGTTCAAGTGATTCTCCTGCCTCAGCCTCCAGAGTAGCTGGGTTTACAGGCTTGCACCACCACACCCTGCAAATTTTTGTATTTTTAATAGAGACGGGGTTTTGCTATGTTGGCCAGGCTGGTCTCGAACTGCTGACCTCAAGTGATCCACCCATCTCAGCTTCCCAAAGTGCTGGGATTACAGGCATGAGCCACCACACCTGGCCTGAAACCCATATTCTAATCTACAAAAACATAAGATGACAAATTTGTGTTGTTTAAGGCCATGAAGTTTATGGTAACTTGTAACCTAGCAATGCTAGCACGCTGATACAATAGTATTATAGAACCTATTATTATAAATATTTAGATGATACCCTCTGAGTGACCGCTATGTTCAAAGCACTGTGCTAAGCACATTATGTACTGCATTCCATTTAGTCCTTGCCATAGTGTCTCCTCTGTAGATTGTGTAGTCCAGTGTCTCTATTTAAATATGATTGAATTAAGCCTAGAAAAACAAAATAATCTATTACACAGCTCATATCACATAGCTCTTCGAAATCACAGGCTTGGATCTGGCACTATCTGTGGAGCAATCCAGGAGAAAACAAGTGATATTTTTCACTACGTCACTACTACTGCTACTTTCACTACTTCAGTACTAAGTGGGGATAGATTGCTCTGTCATATTTCCATCTCTGCTCAGTGCCAAGGGCTGGTTTTCAGGGAGTGACTTCTTTGAGTCAGTGGTGTGAACAGGAAACAAAGAAGACCTGCTCCTCATCGAGATTGAGCCTGCCCCTGACAACCTGGAGGGTAGGCCCCCACAGAAGGTGAACCACTACTGAAAGGAAAGCCAGTGTCAAAGCAGCACTGGAATAACCCAGGTCAAATGGCACCTCCTTCCTGAAGGGGCTCCCCATCCTCTTTTCAGAGGCTCCTTCCTCTGAATTCAAGCAGCATTTTTTCCTCTGCATCTTACGGTGCATACTGCCTGCTAGCTTGTGTTATAGTTGCTTGTGCACATATTTAAGCTCTGAGTAGGGCTACCGTTTACTGCGTTTACTGAAAAATTGTCATGTGCCAGATACTCAGCTAAATGCTTTGCCTGCATTATCTCATGGAATCCCCATAAACACCTATGTGATGGGTACTATAATTATTGGTAATTTTACATAAAAAGAGTCTAAAGTCAAATGGATCTCTTGACTTACCTGAGACCTCACAATTAGTCAGTGGCAGAGCCAGTATTCAAAATCTGCTATCTCCCAAACCTGTGCTCTTAATTTAAAATTAAACTCTTTGAGAATAAAAAGGAGACTTCTATGTTTGTGTCTGGTTTATTCATTGCATTCCCAGGGCATAGCAAAATTTCAATAAATATATGCAGACTGGAATAAGAGGCCATGAGTGGGAAAGTTTCAAAAAAAAAAAAAAAAAAAAAAAAAAAGGCCTGACTAGTGAAGAACAGTAACTACTTAACATCTGGCTCATGGTCTCTCCCAAATACTAATTAGGAATAATTCGAGGTAAATATTCCTGTACTTGACATACTGTTTCCTGGGAATTGCATTTATATCTTTATATCAATACATTTTGATTTTTGTTGTTTTACCACCAATTAACCAGTCCAAAGGGCAAAAATGGCACATGAAAGAAAGTGCTGTAAATTAGTAAACTGGACAGAAGAAAGTACGAAACTGCATACCTAGTGACCAGTCTCATCACCCCATAGCTCCATCTGCGAAGCCCAGCAATCACTGCAGCACTATTACGGGGAAGCCAGATTCTCTCTGACCTTTAGCTGTGGCTGTAACCGCTTTGGCTGAGTGTGCATCCTGAAATGCTAGATGCTAATGCTGCAGATCAAGTCATCATTGAACCCACAAGGTATTTTGCTCTAACTACACCTGTTCAACATCTTTACTTCTTGCTAGATTATAAATTCCATGAAAGGAACAACAATATTGATTTGGTTTATAACTCTATCCTCAGTTCTTGGCTCAAATAAAGGCTCAATAACTGTTTACTGAATGAATTCATGAATGAGTGAATATCTCTAGACCCGTGTCAAATGAATTAATTAACTTTAAGAAAACAGACTAGTGATTATATTTGTGGGTTTCTGATTTGATTTTAACTGTGGAATACATAATTTATCTCTAGCAATATTTGCATCATTTTTGGCAAAAAAAAAAAAAAAAAGAAAAAAAGATGAAGAAAACCCAACTAAGTATCAGTTTAAAAAATCAGGAAATTTGTTTTCTGATGTCACAAGAAGCTGGGAGGCAGAGTGGTTGTGGGGTTGGTTATTTTGCTTCTGCAGTAACATCCTCAAGTTATCAGCCATATTTTGCTTGTCTACTCTGCCATCTTCAACATGCTGTCTTGGTCCTCTACTTCCTTCTCATAATTACAGGATAGATTCAGAAGGTCCAGCATCTTCTCCTCACCCTAATTTAACTAGAGACAGCTAAGCAACTAAACTTTCTCCTGAGACTATTTTAAAGATTAAAAAATCTTTCTCCCAAGCCTCTGCAACAGATATGTACTCATTGTCCAGGACAATATCATGTGCACTATTTCTAAACTGAACAGTGGCAAGGTGGATGGGCTTATCATGACAGGGTTAGATTTATCAAAATTCCCTCCCTGGGGATGTGGAAGGGGCTAGCCTCTCCTGGTGACATGGCCATCTGATTGCTGAACCAAATTAACTTACTGTGAAAAGAGGTAAAAGAAATGGCTGTTGAATAAACCACTATGAAGAGTTTTAGATCTATACAGCCACTTTTATGCATGAACATCCGCTAAGTGCCAGATGGATCCCCCAACCCTTCTCTCACTATTCCGAGTTTATTTGCCACATGTTTATGGCAGATACATTATTTTTTTCTGGCATAAATGTTGTTATCAATAGAACTAAGAAAAAATAATTCCACTACTACAGACCCCTCTGCTTTTGAAATAAATCAGATTCCAGTTCTGCCTGAGCTCCATATTCCTGGCCATTTAAGATCATATGCTAGATTCTAACCCTACATTATTTTGATGGGTAAAAATAACCCTGAACTTACTAAAAAAAAATTATAATAATACCTGGGTGGCCCAGTAAGTTTGTATTTCTGGAAATTTACTAAAATCTAAATTACCTTTTCATAGTGAAGATGGGGAAAGGATAAACAGAGTGAATACCATATGGCCTGCCTCTTGTTACTGGTAGAAATAGCATTGTCCTTTACCCAGGCCATTCATCTTGAAAAATCATACTTGCCCTTTATTTTTGAGATCTGATCACCTCATTTTTGATTAGGTTCTATGTCCCCAGCTAACTGCACACTTTGAAGAACCTGAACCAGTTTGAAGGCTGCCCTTCTCATTTAGCAGCAGGTACAGCAATAATAGCAGCTAAAAACATTGATTGTGAATAACCCCTCAAAGACATCCAATAGCATTCTCGCCTCTTCAGCTCTAATTGAGTCTGCATTTCCTCATGTGTTTCCTGGCTTCATGGTTCATGATGAGTTTTAACACAAGAGAAAAGAAAACAAGATGATTGCCATGACACCCTTTGGGTCACAAATCCACAAAAAAAAGAGTAGATTGAGAAATCTGTGGCAAAAATAAACAAAATAATAATCATGAAAGTTTAAGAATCTCAACAGGGACAGAGCAAAAACCGTATGTGCTCAGACTCTCATAGGATATATTAAATTTGGCTGCCTGTTGCAAAGAAGTCTGTGGATAGACAAACATTCTGTCAGTCCTAATTACCTCACTGGGCCTGTTTTTGTTACTTCAGGCTCTCTGCCGTCTGGCATGGGCGCCCTGCATCAGCCAAGATCCTAGCCAGCTGAAGAAGATTGAGAGGCAGGCCTTGCACCCGCGTCTGTGAACTGTCACTCTGTGTCTCTTTAGACTTGTGATGGGGTATGCCTTCCAATAGGCTGTCAGTTTGATTCCTGACTTGCCAAAGCAGCTGTGTGCACCAAGGTCTTTAAAAAAATCATAGAGGGAGACCTGATCTAGTCCAGCAAATGATGACAAAAAAAACAGTCATTACTTAAGAAAGAAGAAAAGTATAGCAACCATTAAGTGACAAAATTAACTAACTCATTTTGTGACCAGTAAGTGTGAAGCAAAAAAAAAAAAAAAAAGCAGTCATCATCCAAACCCACAAATTAACACTGTAAATGATCCATGCAGAAATGAACTTGAAATGAATTCTACTGGCTCAGTTAATGTGTTGAAAAAGCACATTGAGTTGGTAGGGTCCTTTGGCTTCCACTACATTCGACTCTGTTGGGGAAAAAAATGCTATAATTGGTACCAACACATCCTGTGAACTGCAAAGCCAAGAATATTTTGTTGTCCATGACATTTTCCCCAGGGTTAATACCCTTCTTACTTCAATTAGAGAGATATTTAAAAGATCAACCCAAAGATTAGCACCAAAGCATATTTTTCTTTACTGTTTTAATGTCAGGGATGGAGAACAAAGAGTTTACTTCACTATAACTACAAAGCGTTTCAAAACCCAGAGAAAAAGGAAAAGTTCCCTTCTTTGGGCATAGCAGTGATGAAACTGTGGTCACAAACTCAACATCACTTGACATCACCATGGCTTTGGGATTTTTTTGAATTTTTTACTTCTTTAATTTTTAATTTTTGTGGGTACATAGTAGGTGTATATATTTATGAGGTACATGTTTTGATATAGGCATGCAACGCGCAATTATCACATCACAGAAAATGGGGTATCCATCGCCTCAAGCATTTACAAACAATCCAATTATACTCTTTGTTATTTTAAAATGTACGATTAAATTATTATTCCCATAGTCATTCTGGTGTGCTATCAAATATTGGTCTTATTCATTATTTCTATCTTTTGTACGCATTAATCATCTCCACCACCATCTCTCACTACCCTTCCTAGCCTCTGGTAACCATCCTTCTACACTCTATCTCCATGAGTTCAATTTTTTTTTTTTTGATTCGTAGATCTTAGAAATAAGTGAGAACATACAATGTTTGTCTTTCTGCGCCTGGCTTATTTCACTTAACATAATGACCTCCGGTTCAATTCATATTGTTGCAAATGACTGGATCTCATTCTTTTTCATGGCTGAGTAGTACTCCATTGTGTATATGTACCACATTTTCTTTATTCATACATCTGTTGATGGACACTTAGGTTGTTTCCAAATCTTGGCTATTGTGAATAGCACCGCAACAAACATGGAAGTACAGATATCTCTTTGATATACTGTTTTCTTTGGGGTATATACCAGTAGTGGAATTGCTGGATCATATGATAGCTCTATTCTTAGTTTTTTGAGGAAGCTTCAAACTGTTCTCCATAGTGGTTGTACTAGTTTATATTCTCACCAACAGTGCACAAGCGTTTGTTTCTCCACATCCTCACCAGCATTTGTTCTTAATTGTCTTTTGGATATAAGCCATTTTCACTGGGGTGAGATTATATCTCATTATAGTTTTGATTTGCATTTCTCTGATAATCAATAATGTTGAGCACCTTTTCATATGAGTGTTTCCCATTTGTATGTCTTCTTTTGAAAAATGTCTATTCACCTCTTTTGCCTATTTTTAAATCTGCTTTGTGTTTATAGCCCACTTACCAAATAAATTATTCTTGTAGTCTCCTTCCTCAAAGTGGACATCAATACTCCCACTCTTCATTCCTAAATAATTATCCATCTCACAACATGGGGTAGTCTGAAAATGCATAGAGAGAAACATCCTTCTTTGAAAAGAAATGGATGTCCGGGTGCGGTAGCTCGTGCCTGTAATCCCAACACTTTAGGAGGCCGAGATGGTTGGATCACCTGAGGTCAGGAGTTCAAGACCAGCCTGGCCAACATGGTGAAACCCCATCTCTACTAAAAATACAAAAATTAGCCAGGCATGGTGGCACGTGATTTTAATCCCAGCTACTTGAGGGGCTGAGGCAGGAGAATCGCTTGAACCTGGGAGGCAGAGGTTGCAATGAGATGAGATCATGCCACTGCATAACAGCCTGGGCGACAGAGTGAGACTCCATCTCAAAAAGAAAAAAGAAAGAAAGAAAAGAAATGGACAGAAATCTGTGCAGTATGTCTGGGATGCTAGCTCCAAGTTATCATGAAGGAAAGAATAAGAATGAAGAACATCCAGCCTCAGGAGACTCCAGAAGAAGTTGTCTGCCTGCCAACATTATGGCATAGGCCTAATCTGAAAGCAAGAACCTGGCTTGAGAGGTTTGTAGTCTTGTTTCAGCTTCTTGTAATGGCTATCATTATAACTATTTGCATCCTTGCTGGTGGCTTTGGCTAATTATATTTAACCTCTCTCTGGGTCAGTTTCCTTATCTATAAAATGAGGATAAATAAAAATACCTACATAAAAGGATTGTTCTGAAGATTAAATGAGTTAATATTTGTAAACCACTTATAACAGAGCCTTGTACCTAGCAAGCCCTATATAAGTATTAATCTAATGACATATACTATCTTAGTCTTTTATTTCCTCAATCAACATTTATTTCCTGTTGTAAATGATTTTAAAAACTCCTGTTATTTTATTTCCTTGCAGTTGCCTTCTTTTCTTTTTGATCTTGTTACTACATTCCTTATACCTTGAAATAATTCACTTTTGTAGTATTATGTAACGTTTTTATATTTACCACTTTATCAGCTTTAAACAACTTACATTGGCTTATGATGCAAAAAAAAAAAAAAAAAAAAAAAAAAAAACACTGAGTATCTTTAGGATAATTTCAGATAATTTTCAGAACATAAGCTCACTGTTACGTGAACTTGAGTCAATACTACATCTATCACCTGGTATCCAAATGGAACCACAGTGGCATTTTGGGTCCTTTAGGGAATAGTGTTACCTCAGAGCTGGCATCCAACAATCTCTTAATAATATGCATGTCTCTCTTATTCATATTTATCTAATGCGTATGTTATGCATAAGTCATACTATGCATTATGTTAAAGACAAGAGTTTTCTTAGGGAGAAGGTTAAGGGTGGGGGAAGGGTTTATGGTGTCTACTTGGTCTAGGTATCTATGGCTGTGTAACAAACAATTCCAAAATTTAGAGGCTTAAAAGAGCCAAATAAATTATTTTCTCTTATATTTCTATAGTTGGAATGGGTGCCGGTGGGTAAGGTCTTTCTTAAGAGTCTCTCATGAATAACAGTCACATAGAACTTGGACTGGACTCAACTGAAAGCTTAACTGGGTTGGACATTCAACATGGCTTTCTATTTACAGGCCTGGCACCGCCATACTCCCTGACCTTTCTTTCTTTGTGTTGCTTGGTTTTTCATAACATGGTGGTCTCAGAGTAGTCACATTTCTTATACCATTGTTGGCTTTCAAGAGGCAAGAAACAGGTCGATGAAGGACTATACCTAGAACTGACCTGGGGACACTTTCACTTTATTCTATTGGCACAGAGTCCACCCAGATGAAAGGGGCCAAAAATAAACCCACTTACTGATGGGGGAGTGGGCCCTTGATGGGGAGGTCAGATTGCAGAATAACACATGGGTTGGGAGCCATTGGAGGGCAGCCATTTTTGGGAAATGCAGTCTGTGACACTATTTATGATGTTCACAGTATCAAGTCTCTCCTCCGTTCTAGGGGCTCTGGGTTTGTGAACTTACTCAAGAATGTGAATGACTATGAAGAAGGCTATAACTCTTTTGGGGGATAAAGTAGAGCCTTAACCTGCCATGTGTGAAGAGTTTTTCATCATACAATTTGTTCTTAATGAGTTGCCATATCTAAGAATAATAAAATAGGCAATCCTTTGGCAAGACTGATTAAAAATAAAAGGGAAAATACACATCAATGTCAGGAATAAAATGTGCAGTACAGTCACAGATAGAGTAATGATTCTTAAAATTTGCAAAAGAAGTACTGTGAAAACTTTTCTGCCAATAAATTAGAAAACTCAGACAAAATAGAAAAATAACTAGGAAACTGTAACTTACTACTGATGACTTGATAATAAGTAGAAAAACTTAATAGCCTTATAACCACTTAAAAAACAGAGCAATAATTGAAAATTTCCACTAGTAGGCCCCCCTAGATCTTGCCCCAGTAGTTTGACAGGCAAGTTCTACCAAAATCTCAGAAACTATTTCAAAAGTGTAGAAAAAAATAAAGTTTCCAACTCGCTCCATAAAGCTAAAAGCTTTCATATCAATAATTTATAAGATAATTCAAGAAAGAAGAATTATAGACAAACCTCAGTTTTGAATATGGATGTAAAAAACCTGAATAGAATATTAGAAAACAATACCAGCACTGTCAAAAAATAAAATATCATGACTAAATATGTGGTGCCACAGAAATACATGGATTGTTAAACTTTAGACATTGTGCTATGTAATGCTCCACATTCGCAGGTTAGAAAAGAAAAACAATGTAATTCTATCAAGGGTGAAGAAAAGCATTAAATAAGATTTAACAAATTTCTTAGCAAAATAGTACTAGAAGAAGCACTCTCAATCTGATAAGGGGTACTCACTGCATACGTACAACAAATACAGACACTTAATAATGCACACTTAATAACAACCCATGTGTTATTCTGCAATATGGCCTCCCCATCAAGGGCCCACTCCCCCATCAGTAAATGGAGTTTATTTTTGGCCCCTTTCATCTGGATGGACTCTGTGACCAACAGAATAAAGTGAAAGTGTCCCCAGGCCAGTTGTAGGTATAGTCCTTCATTGCCTTCTTTCTTGGCTCTTGAAAGCCAACTACTATGCACACTTATACCATGCACGCTTACAAAGCATTCTTTTTTTAATCATGAAATAGACAAGTATTCTCTCTGTCACCATTCCTCCTCCATATTGAACTGGGTGTCCTTGCCTATGCAGTGAGAAAAAAAAAAAAAGAAATGAAATATGTAAAGAATGAAAGGAAAAAAATGGTCACTAAACTGTCACAGAAAATATATCAGCAAAGGAAGAAAATACAGATAATTAGAATTTATAAGAAAGTTTAGAAAAGCAATGAGAGCTGTAATATTCATATATATTTTTTCCATATCATACAGAATATAAAATGTACATTATTTTTAACTCAGTAATTCAACTTCTATGTAACCACTCTAAAGAAACTCCCACCAATAGGCACGAGGAAATACATAAAGGACATTTAAAGTTCTGTCAATAGGGGAACAGATAAACTATGACATTCATATGCTGGAATACTATACAACAGTTAAATTGAATGAATGAGAGTCATACATATCATTATGGATAAATAAAAGAGTAAGTGGGAAAAAAAGAGAAAGTGGTAAGACCCTATGTAAGTTAATTACCCTCTCTGTACTCAGTTTTCTTGTCTATAAAATGATGATAATATTAGCACCCACTTTCTAAGGGTAATATGTGTAATATTCTTTAGAACACTGCCTGAAAGACAGCAGGTACTTAATGTGTTCACCATTATAATCACAATGTCAAAGAAGGTGATGATGATAACATTTACTTTTCAAACATGAAAACAGTACTATATATTGTTTATAGATAATACACAGTAAAATCACAAAACAGAAATTTCACAGCAGTTAATTCCAGAAAAAGGAGGGAGGAAAAAGAAGCAGAGTATTTATATCTGTAATCTACTTATTTGTGAATAAGAGAGGTCAGAAGTAAATATAGCAAAAAGTTAACATTTAAATCTAGATGGTAGATGTGTATGGTTTTCATATATTGTTTTTCTGTTTCTATTTATTTAAAATATCTCATGACCAAAAAAATTCAAAGGGAAGGACCTGAACTAGATATCTTAAGACATTAATAGTAATATATCGGGGCTGTTGGATGGTGAGTATCCTTTGTGGTCTTGAATAGAGTTTTCTAAATTTTCCAAGTTTTCTAAATGAGAAATGTATTTCTTCTGTAATTAGACTGAAAATAATTTTCAAAGCAAAGATAAAATCCTTTTACTATTGAAGCCACTAGAGGTCTACTTTATCTAAATTAATATTCACTTAGATGTCTTCTAATCCAAACAAAATCTCTCTATATTTAAAATCACATAATTTTAAGAGTACAACATTTTATTACACCAAAATTTATATTTACAAATTATGCCTCCCTTTTTGCCTATAGTTATAATTCACAAATAACTTACTGGTGTTTGTCACTATCTTTATATAGTAAAATACCATTCCCTATAAATTTCATATTGCTGGTATAATGGTGGAGGGGTTACAGATGATCTGTGGATGTATTTCTCAGAAAGCCCATGGAATGATACCACCAGAGATTTCCTCTAACCTCGCTATTTGGTGTTTCATATCTAAAAGCACATCTACTCTGAAAACAGAACTGATCTTCAGAGACCTTGTAATTTATTTTTTACCATGATTACAATTCCCAATCTAACCAGCAGCAGTTTACATTGAATTCTGATCCAAATGATCAATAGCCATGTGCAACCCATTAGACATGCGAATATTAAATCGTTTTTGGATAAGGGCTGTCCAAATGAAAAGCATATAATTATCATCTATTAACATATATTGAAGCAAATGACACATAAATGCAAAATGTGTCTCACAGAACCTATCAGAATCTCAATGACTATAATGTTAAGGTTAGACTTTATATTTTACATATGGATTAGTAGTGTATTATGATTTATGTCCTTAAGTATTTATTATTAATCATGTTGCTCTTATGCCACAAAATGGGTAAATTTGTGAATAAAATACATTTAATCTCCTATTCCACCCTTTCTTTTTTCACTTCCCTAATATAAAAATTTCCTTGCCTACGACCTACTTGTAAGTAGTAGCCATGATCAGTGAATAAAAGGATAATTAAGCTCAGTTTAATAAGAACATAATTTCAAATAGCTAGCTTACTTTTCATGTTTTCCCTATAAAACCTACACAGTAATAAAAGCATAACATTGTATATAAAAAGTAGAACTTAAAGAAAGATGAGTCCTGTCTCCTATCTCTAGTGTCTAAAATAGTAGTGAAGTTTCCAAACATCCTCTGGTAACTCCTTCTGATATTTAATAGTGCAGAAAAAAATAGTGAATTTTTTTTCTTTAGGAAAACTTAAATCTCTGGTGTTCTAAGACAAAGCTAGACAAATCACCTTTTTATGGGCTATTTCCCTGTCTCCACTAGCAGTTGGTTGAGGGCCGTGTGACTACACCCAGACCAGCATGATGTAAGAAACATGACGCAACCCACTTCCAGATCTGTCCTTCAAGGTATCTCATGAAACCTTCCAGGCATCTCCTCATAGCTGTGGTAAGGCCACATGTTCTAAATGCCAGAGGTATAAGATGAAGAAGTGACACCCAACTGCATTGGACTTTGCATGAGCCAAAAATAAACTTTTATTGTAGTAAGCCTCTGAGGCATGCTTGTTGACTACATTATAGTCTAGTCCATCTAGTATCAGACACTTACTACAGGTCTTTTTCAGGTATGAACATTGTGATGGTTAACTTTAGGTGTCCACTTGATGGGATTAAGGGATACCTAGAGAGCTGGTAAGGTGTTATTTCTGGATGTGTCTGTGAAGGTGTTTCCCAAAGAGATTGGTGTTACGAGTTGGTGGACTGAGTGGGGAAGATCCATCCCCAATGTGGGTGAGCACCATTCAATTGGCTAGGGGCCCAGATAGAACAAAAAGGCAGAGGAAAGGCAAATTCACCTCTTTCTCCTGACACTGGGGCACCCTCCTTCTCCTGACCTTGGATATCAAATCTCCAGGCTGGCTGGCTTTTGGATTCTGGGACTTGCACCAGCAGTCACCCTCTCCCCCAGGTTCCCAGGCCTTCATCCTTGGACTGAGTTACACCATTGGCTTCTTTGGGTCTGAATCCTTTGGACTTTGACTGAACCATGCTATGGGCATCCCAGGGTCTCCAGCTTGCAGTCAGTCTGTCACAGGACTTCTCATACTCACCTGAACCATTGCCCCTAATAAATCCCCTCTGCTGTATGTGTGTGTGTGTGTGTGTGTGTGTGTGTGTGCGCGCACATCTATATGCACACGTATATATATTTCCTATTGGTTCTGTCTCTCCGGACAACCCTGACTAATACAACCTTAATGAGAAAAAATTTCCAACATGCACTCCCGCTTCCACCCACCCTTCTAGGCCCCTCCCTGTGCCAGCCTAGTCCCTTCTTCTCATTCAACAGCAGTGTATTTCAGGATTAGCATTGTGTCTTTGTGGTCCCTAGATCATTTTTCTCTCTCCACACTTACACATATTTAGCCTTTAGTCCTTCCTTACTTGCACTTGTATCTTTCTGTGTTCTCAGGGTTCTAAATTTCAGCTGTCAAACCTTGTTATCTCTTTATCTCTTTCAGGCCAGAAATGAAGCTGGACAAGCCATTCTTAGATATATGTGCATCTCCATGTGTGCTAGGGATAAATCCCTCGTTCCTCAACACCCTGGGGATACAGAAGCCATGTTATGAAAGGCAGTGTTATGTCTGCTTTTCACCTAGGCAGGAATTGGTCAGAGAAGCTAGTTTTGCTAGTTCAACAGATTCCAGTCTTGTTGGGAAGAGAGGTGTGAAGCTCTCTTTTTCTGTTCTCAAGGAACACGGAAGAGGGTGAGACTATTATCTAAAGTCACTACCTTTGCCCTGGTACTTCTGTGATTCTTTCACTGGTGAAGGTGTTTCCTACAAAGCCTACTAAAAATAAAGGGAAATCTAAATAGCATCCACCTTCCAGGCCCCATGTTAGTGCTTTGCCTTTCTGACAGATTGTTTAACAAGATTTCTCTATTTTCTTTGCATGAGGACTCTTTACACTAACCTTCTTCTGAGTGATGTTTGATAAGATTTCCCCCATTTTCTTTGCATTGGGGCTCCATATTTTCTTTTTTATCTTTTCACACAGGAACACACCTGCCATGTAGAAGTAGTCTTTCAAGCAAGATAAAGATTAGCCTGACCTTTCTTACATCAATTAATCAATATGGTTATGCCACAGACTTACCTTTTAACCTTGGTGTTTCCATAGTGCAATAGTAAAACATGATTTGTGAGGCTGCTGTGCTTTATATGTGGTTAAGAACAACCCACTGTCTATGTGCTTTGATAAAGTATCAGAGCACAAGGCAACACAGGAAGGAAAGGAGGCTTTTATTGTCTTCATCAGAAATGGCTTTGTAAATCTAAGATTGGAACAGTTATATGGGCAAAGCTGGGAGACTGAAATTAACTGCTGGACTCTGTTTGCAGATTCCTGCTGCTGGAAAAGCCACTGTTGGAGAATTCTCGGAAGGGTGGAATCATTTGATTTGAATTTCATTTAGGAATAGGTTTTCTGTTGCTGGTATCAATACCCTCTCCCTTATCACTGAAGCTTATCTCTAAGAGAAACAAGAAGGGTTTGCTCCACAGTATCCCGAACCCACAAATGCCACTTTGCTTTCTGTTTTAGCTTGTCTCCCAGATGAGGAATCTACAGAACACAGAGATGTAGAAGTATCTCAGAATATGAGCAAGTCATTTTGTACTGAATCCATTTCATGTCAGACAACCCTACCACTGTGCCCTCTGTGAGGTCTTTCTTGACAGAAAGATCTGCCCACCAGACTACGGTGTAGATGTTTGTCTTATCAAAGAATTGTAGAATGTCTTTTTGAGTATGTCATCCATCTGTTTTGTTTTAAGGTAGAGGAAACTGAGCCCCAGAAAATGACATGTTTTGACTCAGATTCCACAGATATTTAGTGGTAGACTGGATCTTAGAAACCCGTTTTCTGAAACGAGTGCAGTTTCTACTCCAATGCCAAGCTGTCACATTAGTTCTTAAGGGTATATTTAATTTTGTGATATTTGCAAACATACCACCTTCCTCAAAGGCCCACTATAAAACTCCCTGGTGATGTTGTATATTTCCTTGTGGGCATGCTTGGCAGTACTGTTTTAACCTGGGCATCTAGATGTCCTATCTTAAATCAAAAGAAAACTCATATTATAGCTCTGCCACTTACCAGCTGGGAAATCTTTAGTAAGTTATTTAACCTCTCTGTATCTGAACATTATCTTCTGCAAAATAAAATAACTACCTCATGAGGCTGTTTGGAGGGTTGAAAGAATGCATAAAAAACACTTAAAACAGTGTCTGGCACATAAGAATTGCATGATTAGATATGCCATATAAGTGATAGCTCACATTCTTCCTTCCATTCCTTTCTCACTTTCTTCAAGGAATCTGAGGTATCACCCTATATTACAATATTTTGTTTTTTCATAAATCCTAAGTGTTTTATAATCCTTTACCGTCTTACAGTGTACATATTGTAACGTTCATCCAGTTCATTTGAATATTCACGTTGGGAGTAATTGGAAGAACTGCCTTTTTTCATATATGAAAAACGAAAACAAACCACTGTCTACCATCTCACTCACATTCTGGTTCTTTTTGAGTGGATATCAAAGAGTTAATCCGTCTCATTTCCAGGGCATGGTGACAAAGGTTGTTGAACAAATTTCACTTTGCTATCAACTTTTAAATTATGCGAAACACCATTGAATGCCAAGATCAAGTGCCTTGTGATCAGTGCATAAAGTGAGATTTCATGTGGATTTTGTGACTTTCCCAATGGCAACTCTGTCATTAAAGTTTCCTTGTAATAACACAGCAGTACCTTTCTCTTGAACCAGGTTTGACCAATCATTAAAATGTTTAGCCAAGGAAGGTTCTTAGATAATGTGAGAGCCCAGGCTATAATCACAGATTTGAGTAGATTCTCTCCATTTCCTAACATTTAGTTAAATAAAACTTGCTATTTTAAGGAAGTCTCTTTAAACAGCACATGCTTCTTAATAAATAAACTTCTGTTGATTCAAGTATAAGTTAATTTTTGACATGAAATTTAAAAACTTATGTTGGTTTAAATAATACAGAGGGACAGTTAAATTAAGTAGAAAACCATGTGCAGCCAAACATAGCTTGGTCTTGCTGAGTTTCCAAATTGAGGATAGTTGTTTAAGGAATTAACATACCCTAAAGGTTACTATCTTCTTAGTGCTGCTTGGATCCCATCAGTCCAGGCTAGAACACAAAAATCAGGAGATGCCAGGCTTAGATGTCTTAACCTTCTCCTCTCCTCTGTTTTGAGATTGAGATTCTGCCTGTAAAAGTGTTGCCCTCAAACAGTCAAGACAAGGTTTCCCCAGCAGAGGAGTTCTGAGAACAATGAGCTCGAGGTTTAAAAACAAAATTCAAGGATGTTCTTAATAAGGCTGTTAAATCCATGGTTTTCTGCCATGTAGTGTCTCAAATGCCTCTTTGGGGGTTTATTCTATTTTAGAAGGATGGCAGATATAAATATTTCATTATTTTGAGATTTTGTCTTTGACCTAAGGAAGTTTACATTTTGTTTAGATAGTAGTCTGAGAAATGTGATTATTTTATAGAATGGATAGACATAGGAATGCAAAGAAAAGCAATAAAGTTACTTTTTTTGTGTCTAATGGAGTTCTCAAAGATTAAAAGGAATGATAATCATTAGTGTGGGAGTGTGAAAATGGGCATTCTCATACATTACTAGAGGGAGTATAAGTTGGTTCTTTCTTAAAATGAAAGCAATTTGGTGATATATATTTAAAGCCAGAGAAGTGTGTAAACACCAACCCATAATTTCCACTTCTAGGGAATCATCCTAAGGAGATATATATATATATATAGATAGATAGATAGATAGATATCGATATATAGATATAGATAGATAGATATAGATATATATAGATATATAGATATATATGCAAGAGTATATAGTTTACAAAAGCAAAAAATTAAAAACAGCATAAGTGTCCAATAATAAAAGCTATTTTAATCAAATGCTTCTATATAATGGAATGTTATGTAGCCAATAGAAATAATTATCTAGATGCACATGTGCCAACTTGGAAAGATATTTTTGAATGATTGTTAACTGATAAAGGCACATTATAAACCTAATTATAATATGATAGTGTTATAAGAGAAAAAAATTTATATGGATAGCTAGGAATTGTAGAATATACAATATAATGCTGCCTGTGATTGTCTGTGTATTTGGTATTCATGCAATTTATGCTTATTTATATTTCCTAATGTCTGCAATTAATATGTATTACTTGAGCATGCATTTTTAAACTATAAAACAATGGAAATTAGTGGCATTATGAGATATAATGATGTCATATTTGTTTTAATGTACTAGAATGAAAAAATTGTTTCATTCCATTTGATTTGATAAGCCATGATTTTTAACTCTTTAAAAAATTATCCAAAGAGATAGAGACATGAAAAATCCTTGAAAAAAATCAATGAATCCAGGAGCTGCATTTTTGAAAAGATCAGCAAATAAATAGACCACTAGCCAGACTAATAAAGAAGAAAAGAGAGAAGAATCAAATAGATGCAATGAAAAATGATACAGAGGATAGCATCACTGATCCCACAGAAATACAAACTACCATCAGAGAATACTATAAGTACCTCTATACAAATAAACTAGAAAATCTAGAAGAAATCGATAAATTCCTGGACATATACACCCTCCCAAGTCTAAACCAGGAAGAGGCTGAATCCCTGAATAAACCAAGTTCTGAAATTGAGGCAGTAATTAATAGCCTACCAACCAAAAATAGTCCAGGACCAGGTGGCTTCAGAGCTGAATTCTATCAGAGGTACAAAGAGGAGCCAGTACCATTCCTTCTAAAACTATTCCAAACAACAGAAAAAGAAGGAATCCTCCCTAACTCAATTTATGAGGCCAGCATCATCCTGATACCAAAACCTGGCAGAGACACAACAAAAAAAGAAAATTTCAGGCCAATATCCCTGATGAACATTGATGCGAAAATCCTCAATAAAATACTGGCAAACCGAATACAGCAGCACGTCAAAAAGCTTATCCATCACGATCAAGTCTGCTTCATCCCTGGGATGCAAGGCTGGTTCAACATACGCAAATCAATAAACGTAATCCATCGCATAAACAGAACCAGTGACAAAAACCACATGATTATCTCAATAGATGCAGAAAAGGCCTCCGATAAAATTCAACACCGCTTCATGCTAAAAACTCTCAATAAACTAGGTATCAATGGAACATATCTCAAAATAATAAGAGCTATTTATGACAAAGCCACAGCCAATATCATACTGAATGGGAAAAAACTGGAAGCATTCCCTTTGAAAACTGGCACAAGACTAGGATGCCCTCTCTCACCACCCCTATTCAACATAGAGAAAGTCAAATTGTCTCTGTTTGCAGATTACATGATTGTATATTTAGAAAACCCCATCATCTCAGCCCAAAATCTCCTTAAGCTGATAAGCAACTTCAGCAAAGTCTCAGGATACAAAATCAATGTGCAAAAATCACAAGCATTCCTATACACCAATAATAGACAAACAGAGAGCCAAATCATCAGTGAAATCCCATTCACAATTGCTACAAAGAGAATAAAATACCTAGAAATACAACTTACAAGGGATGTGAAGGACCTCTCCAAGGAGAACTACAAACTTCTGCTCAAGAAAACTACAAACCACTGCTCAAGGACACAAACAAATGGAAGAACATTCCATGCTCATGGATAGGAAGAATCAATATCATGAAAATGGCCATACTGCCCAAAGTAATTTATAGATTCAATGCTATCCCCATCAAGCTACCACTGACTTTCTTCACAGAACTGGAAAAAACTACTTTAAACTTCATATGGAACCAAAAAAGAGCCTGCATAGCAAAGACAATCCTGGGCAAGAAGAACAAAGCTCGAGGCACCTCACTACCTGACTTCAAACTATACTACAAGGCTACAGTAACCAAAACAGCATTGTACTGCTACCAGATGTATACAACAATGGAACAGAGCAGAGGCCTCAGAAATAACAGCATACATCTACAACCATCTGATATTTGACAAACCTGACATAAACAAGCAATGGGGAAAAGATTCCCTATTTAATAAATGGTGCTTGGAAAACTGGCTAGCCACATGCAGAAAACTGAAACTGGACCACTTCCTTACACCTTATACAAAAATCAACTCAAGACGAATCAAAGACTTAAACATAAGACATAGGACCATGAAGATCCTAGAAGAAAACCTAGGTGATACCATTCAGAACATAGGCATGGACAAAGACTTCATGTCTAAAACACCAAAAGCAATGGCAACAAAAGCCAAAATTGGCAAATGGGACCTAATTAAACTAAAGAGCTTCTGCACAACTAAAGAAACTATCATCAGAAAGAACAGGCAACCTAAATAATGGTAGAAAAATTTTGCAATCTATCCATCTGACAAAGGGCTACAAAGAACTTAAACAAGTTTACAAGAAAAAAACAACCCCATCAAAAAGTGGGCAAAGGATATGAACAGACACTTCTCAAAAGAAGACACTTATGCAGCTAACAAACATGAAAAAAAGCTCATCATCTCTGGTCATTAGAGAAATGCAAATCAAAACCACAATAAGATACCATCTCATGCCAGTTAGAATGGTGATCATTAAAAAGTCAGGAAACAACAGATGCTGGAGAGGATGTGCATAAATAGGAATGCTTTTACACTGTTGGTGGGAGTGTAAATTAGTTCAACCATTGGGGAAGACAGTGTGTCGATTCCTCAAGGATCTAGAACCAGAAATACCATTTGACCCAGCAATCCCATTACTGGGTATATACCCAAAGGATTATAAATCATTCTACTATAAAGACACATGTACACATATGTTTATTGTGGCACTATTCACAGTAGCAAAGACTTGGAACCAACCCAAATGCCCATCACTAATAGACTGGATAAAGAAAATGTGGCACATATATACCATGGAATACTATGCAGCCATAAAAATGGATGAGTTCATGTCCTTTGCAGGGACATGGATGAAGCTGGAGACCATCATTCTCAACAAACTCTCACAAGAACAGAAAACCAAACACCACATGTTCTCATTCATAAGTGGGAGTTGAACAATAAGAACACATGGACATAGGGAGGGGAACATAACATACTGCGGCCTGTTGCAGGGTTGGGGGCTAGAGGAGGGATAACATTAGAAGAAATACCTAATGTAGGTGACAGGTTGATGGGTGCAGCAAACCACCATGGCATGTGTATACCTATGTAACAAAACTGCACATTCTTCACATGTACCCCGGAACTTAAAGTATAAAAAAAATCTCCAAAGAGATTGAAGAAGGTAGAACTGCAGAGAAGAGGAAAGGGGGAGATAGAGAAAAAACAGGGAGGGATTGAACTTAATGCAGCCGCATGTTGGAGGCTTGGCATTGCAAGGTCAAAGTTAAACTCCTGGCTTTTATTCTTGAGTTGGCTTAACCTTGTTTAAATCACTTTACTCCCTTGGGTTTCAAGATTTTTATCTGTAAATTAAGAATCATAATAATACTCACAGGATTATTGTGAGGATTACATGAGAAGCATGAGTCAAAGTGCCTTGCTCATAGAGGGTGTGCAACACTGGCCAGCAGTGAGCATGTAATATGTGCTAGACACTGAGTTACATGCTTTCCATACATTATCACAAACCTGCCACACAGGCATTTTATCTCCATTTTGCAGATGAGAATATCAAGTTGTAGAAAATTTCATTAACTTGCCCAAAGCCAGAGGGCTGGAAAGAGCTGGATGGGGACTGACATGAAGTGCCCAAAAAGGATATTCCTTATGAGATAGAGACAAACCAATCCTTCCAACCCTCCCACGTTCTTCACCACCCTGCCCTGTCCAGAAAAGAAAGAGGCAGATCAATTGAACTCAGATTGTATCCTGAAAAATGCTGGGTTGTTTGAATTCTCTGTGAAACCCATTGCACTCTACAAGCTAGTTTTGAAAAACATTCAGGTCCAAAGGAAAAAATGGCTGAAAGATAATATGTGCTATTTCCAGTGTATTCTTGTATAGCTTTCCCTTTCTGAAGTTACTCTGTGTGTGTGTGTGTATGTGTGTGTGTGCGTGTGTGTGTGTGTTGCACTGTGGCAGATTTAATCTGATCCTCATACCCACATACCTACTATATTTCCCTACAAATACTAACTTTTTAGACACCCGAACACTATAATTTCTTGGGGTTTTTATGTGCTTTCTCTTTGAATTCAGCCTGTGCTATATTACAGTAGAACACTATTTATTCCAAATCTGCTCTGAAATAATACTTCTAGATAAAGAAATTTGAACTCCAAAAGTACAAAATTTAAAAGAAAGATTTGATTCAGACCCAAAATATTCTGTATGTAGCCTATCAAATTTCCTTCAATTATAAATCATGTGTAAATACATATATGCATAATCATAATTTAGTATTTCAAAGGAGCCATTATACATCAGACAAATGACCAAGAACAATCACAACTAGCATGTTACCATGAAATACAGCTGTAGCATGACTGCGACAGTCCATTAGGATCACAGCCACTGCATCATCATTGTAAGACTCAATCAGGGCAACACGGTGCTATCAAACAGTTCTTCACAGCCCTCAACACCCACCATCACATCAACCACAGCAATATGTGTTATTACCAAAGAGATCAGTTAAAATCTTTTTAGGACACTCTCTAGTTAGGTTGCTTCTGATTTCTCCTACAGAAATGTGTGCCATTTTTACTCTGCTTCTTTACTCATACTCTTTATGCTGACTATAAACTCTGCCTTGGTCTATTCAAGCTGCCATAACAAAATACCTTAGACTGCAGAATTTATAAACAACAGAAATTTATTTCTCACAGTTCAGAAGGCTGCAAAGTCCAAAATCAAGGCACCAGCAGATTCAGGGTCTGGTGAGGGCCTGTTTCTCTTAATGGCATCTTCTGTGTGTCTGCACAAACAGGATCCTTCAAGCCTCTTTTAGAAGGGGCACTAATCCCATTAGGTGACCTAATCACCTCCTAAAAGTCCCACTTCTTAACACTATCACATTGGGGGTTAAGTTTCAACATATGAATTTTGGGGGAATGTAAACATTGAAAACATAGCAAACCTCACCCTACAGTCCCTTATGATTCCTGCATGTAAAACAATACTCATCCTTTTCCCAATAGAACTTTTTTTCCCCCATGGAGCCTGGGCTGTTGTCTCATGAATCAGATTTCTTCCTCCTGTGTACCCATGTAGCAGCTTTTATCTCCTATGTGACTTTCTGTATTCTACTTGCCCTCCAAGTCCAAAATTCTTTAGCTGGAAATTTTTGTACTTTATAAAAGTAATAACATAGCATAAACCATATATTACGTATATTACACAGCATTGCAGACAATGCAGTAGGCGACATATGACCCAAATAATAAGACATTCTTATTTGTACACTTAAAAGTATGCAATATTAACTCCTTATCAGCTATATGGTTTACAAATATTTTCCCCCAATCTGCAGGCTCCCTTCTGATTTTGTTAGTTGTTTCCTTTGTTTATAGATGCTTTTTAGTTTGATGGATTCCCACTTGTTTCTTGTTTCTTTTTATTTAGCTTTTGGTGTGATATCCAAAAAATCATTGCTACAGCCAATATCAGTAAGCTTTTCTCTTGCTGTCTTGTAGGAGTTTTGCAGTTTCAGATCCTACATTTAGGTCTTTAATCCATTTGAGTTAATTTTTGTATTGTGGAAGATAAAGGACCAGTTTCATTATTTTGCATGTGAATATCCACTTTTCCCAACTCACAACTCAATAGCAAAAACCAAAACAAAATAACCTGATTTTGATATGGGCAAAGAACATGAGTAGACATTTTTCCAAAGATACACATTTCATATACAAAGTATATGAAAATGTACTCAGCATCACTAATATCAGGGAAATGGAAATAAATGACAAGGAGTTATTACCTCATGCCTGTTAAGATGAGTGTTATCCAAAAGACAGGAGCTAATAAAGTTGGCGAGGGTGTGGGGAAAGGGGAACCCTTGTACGCTGTTGGGGGAAATGCAAATTGGTACTGCCATTATGGAAAACAGTATGGAACTTCCTCAAAAAAAAATAGAACTACCATATGACCCACTAATTTCTCTGGTGGGTTTATACCCAAAGGAAATAAAATTAGCACCTGATTGAGATATCTGTGTTGTCATGTTCATTGCAATATTATTCCCAATAGCCAAGGTATGGAATCAACGTGTGTCCATCAACAGGTGAATGGATAAAGAAATTGTAGTACATATACACAATGGGGCACAATTCAGCATTAGCAAAGAAGGAGATGCTGCCATTTGTGAAAATATGGATGACCCTTGAGGGCATTATGCTAAGTAAAATAAGCCAGACACAGAAAGAAAAATATTTCATTATTGTATATGGAATCTAAAATAAGTTGAAGTCATAGAAGCAAAGTAGAATGGTGGTTACCAGTAGTGGAACAGAAGTGGGGATAGTGAGATGTACCAAAGAATACAAACCTACACTTAGAGAGATATAGTCTAGAGATATTATATAGAGCATGGGGATTATAATTAATAATATACTGTATATTGAAAATTTGCTAAGAGAGTAGATTTTAAGTGCTCTTAACATGAAAACACAAAAGGTAACTATATGATGTGACACATATGTTAAGATTTCCTTGACTGTAGTTAATTATTTAAGTAAGTATATGTATTATCAAAACATCTTATTGTATACCTTAAATATATATAATAAAAATGAAATTTCAAGAAAGAAGCACGTGAAAATTTGCATTTTCACCTCATGGAAGAAAGGAATCTTTGCACAAATAAAGAGAATACACTTCTTTATCTCAAACTAAACTCTCTCATGCTAGGAGAAAAGATTTCAGCAAAACTTCATTATGAGCAGAGGCCTGGTGCCCAAAGACTATAGTTTCTTCCACACTAATCACTTGAGAAGAATTTTCTAAAATGAGGATCGAGGGGCTATGAAATCCCTTAGATCATACAACTGTATACAACAAAATAAACATGAGGCAAAGAGCTCCATAAGAACCTAGATTAAGTCTTGCAACCAACTGGCAAATCACTAATAACAAACCCTTTGTTCCTTTTGCAAGAGGTCAAAAATAATGAATAATTGAAACTGTGCCAAGTCGACTAACAGCAAGTTCACGTGAGATCATTTAAAACAGGAGAAAATGATGCTTGAAAAGGTCCCTGATGAGATTTTGCTTTTTCCTAAGAGACTCTGGATAGCATTCTGCAGCAGCATTTTAAAAACCACTTTCCAAAATTGGGCACCTTCATTATCATGCATTACATTTGCACTCTCCACTTAGGGTGCTTTGAAAAAGAATGGCACCCCAGTTGTGTTTTTTACATTAAATGCACCTTCTCTCACATTTGCTGTCTCTCTGTGAAAGACATTTTATTTCATAGCTACTACATTTCTTTGTCTCTATTTTACTGAATGTGTCGTTTTCAAAGTAGGCAGAGATGGCCACTTTTGGTGGTAGCGTTAGAGAAACTGAGAGGCTGACTGTATGACCCACTTCACTAACCATCTCAACTAGCACCAAAGTAAATAAATAGACACAGAGGCTTTGGTTTGGGTTATTTCCATACAGGGCAAAACAGGGACACTGAAGAGTAAAGCCTGATGTTGTTTATTTACATTCTGTTTGTTTTTTAAGTGAGAGTGAGATTATACTGTAAACAATAGATTATTTTTGCCAGAGTTGAAAGGAGTTGAGGTTATCCTATGAGTCCATGGATAAAATGCCACCTCTAGACAGGAAACAGTGATGCCTAAATGTTAACTTCAGAGAGCCTAGAACTATACAGGAATTGATGTATACACACTACATTGAAACAAAGCATAACTGTAACTAAAACATTGAATTCTTAGTAATGTGAGGTTATTTTGGAGTTTATCCTGGGGCCCCCCCCCCAAAAATAGTTCTATTACATTGACTCATCTAGAGCAAGAATTCACAGAAGGGAGAGAAAAATATTTACAGAAGTTTGTATATATATTAGTCCATTCAAATATGTTTTATATTAATATCTTCAATATAAACATAAAATGTACTACTATAATGCCACAATTCATATTTATAACTGGTGAATAATGTCAATATATTATTAAACAAATATGTACACAAATGGTTGCATCTGTATTGTTATGCAAATAATTAGAAATTAGTTGTGTTTATCCTTTAATGCAGTCTACAATGTGAGCTACAATGGCATTCCTCACATACTTATGTCATCTAGAAAAAAAATCCAATGACAAGGACAACAAGAAATGAAAAGCAACAAAACTGGGACTATTAATATATGGAGTCAATTAATCTACTTGTGTTAGCAGGCTCTGAGGGAGTTGCTGTGTTCTACAACATAGCACAGCAGTTGATTCATAGTTATTAAGAAAAGTTTAAATTATCCACCCTCTATAAACACATCTAAGAACTCAAAAGGACATCTAATACAACTTATGGCCAATTCTATGAAATTATTAAAGTAAAACACAGCAAGGGGCCAATTTCACCTGGAAAATCCATTAATGTAGAATGCCTCATTCTCCAATAATGTGTCATTGCACTTACGTTATTTTACATATTTAAGGTAAGTCAGGGGAATTCTGAGAGGCTAAGGAAAATGATTAGTCTAAAATTCTTGAGGAAAATAGGGTTTCAGGTTTTCAAATTAGACAAGTGAAATCCTAAGAGTCCCCTTGAGGTGGATATGAAGCGGGCACTTAGATGTCATTCACAGGCTTCTGAATGGCTGGAGTCAACCTGATCTTCCCTTCGGGAGACAAGCACCTGGGACAGTGCTGATGCATGAGCCCTTCATCCTCGGTCCAGAGTTCGAGACAGGTGATTCCCCTTGTAACCAAGAGACAGGACACTGCTCCCCACCAGTGCCACAGCACTCCAATTATCCTTCCCTGCCACAGAGCACAGACCAGAGGGATCAGGAGGAAGAAAACCAGAGACCCTGGGAGCCTGTGCTGCTTTCTCCACTAGTTATTGTTAGGAAAGAGGCAATGCCAAAGTGCACTTACTAATTCATCTGGGAAAATGGGTCTTATACTATTTCTAAGTGGGAAAGAGAAAAAGAAGGGAATTAACAGTTATCTATCAAGCGTCTACTACAATAACATTTATAGAAACGGTTTTGGCTAGTCCCACATACTTTACATGGTGCTTTAAATGAACGATCTAATTTAATTTTTAAAATAATTCTCTTAGGTATTATTGTATGCCTTTGTACATATAAAAAAAAAATTGAAACTTAGAGAGGTTAGGAATTTTTCCCAAAATCAAAACCACAATGATATACCATCTCATGCCAGTCAGAATGGCTATTGCTAAAAAGTCAAAAAATAAAAACAACAGTGGCAAGGCTGCAGAGAAAAGGGAATGCTTATACACTGTTGGTGGTAATACAAATTAGTTCATCCACTGCGGAAAGTAGTTTGGAGATTTCTCAAAGAATATAAAATGAAACTATCATTCAACCCAGTAATCCCATTATGGGGTATATACCCAAAGGAAACCCATATTGGGCTTATATACCCAAAGGAAAACAAATCATTCTACCAAACAGACACATGCTTTCATATGTTCATTGCAGCACTATTCACAATAGTAAAGACATGGAATCAACCTAGGTGCCCATCAATGGTAGATTGGATAAGAAAAATGTGGTACATATATACCATGGAATACTATACAGCCATAAAAAAGAACAAAAGCGTGTCCTTTGCAGCAACACAGACGCAGCTAGAGGCCACTATCCTTAGCAAAGTAACGCAGGAACAGAAAACCAAATACTGCATGTGTTCACCTATAAGTGGGAGTTAAATATTGGGTACACATGGACAAGAAGATGGAACAATAGACCCTAGGGACTACCAGACGGGGGAGAGGGAAAGGGGACAGGAGCTGAAAAACTACCTATTGTGTATTATTCTCACTACATGAGTGACAGGATCATTCATATCCCAAATTTTGTGTCACGCAATAAACCTGTGTAACAAATCTGCACATGTAACTACTAAATCTAAAATGAAAGTTAAAATTATAATTGAAAAAGAAAAAAAGAGAACGTTTTCCCAAGATCACATAGCTAGTAAACTGAAAAACAGGATTCAAACTAGCTCTAACTGCAAAGGCAGTAATGAAGAGATGGCTCAGTAAATGGCAAGTTAAAGATGTGAATCCCCATTTTTCAGTTATCTGTGTTGCTTTCTCTCTTTAACACTTCAATGCCAGCACACTAGCCCCAGTTTCTATGTTGTGGGCCTAGGAGTTTAAGAATGTTAGTGTGGAAACAACTTTTACCAATAAACAAGATTTCTTAAACCTTGGCAGAACTGAAGTCCCCACCAAGAATCTGATGCATATTATGCCCCCTTATCCCAGAAAAACGTATACTTTCAATTCCGGTTATTCATGGTAGTTATGTTCTTTAAAGTCACCATGAACACTGGGGCAGATGACGCAGAACCTCTGCTCCTAGGGGAAATACAGGGTTAAGTTCCTGTGAGCCACTGGTCACATTTTCATCAATGCAGTATATAACCTTGTTTTATGTGTGTTTCTGTTTATAGATACCTTATTTAATATACATTGTTGACTCATTAACATAGAACTCATGGCCAACAGCCCTGTAACTCATACTGGAACAAAGCTTTCATGACACACACATTTTCTCTATATGATATAGCGCAATATTTTTTGTGGTTAGGAACACTGGACAAGACTTTAACACACATTTGGGTTCATTTCAAACAGTGGAATCACTAATAAAAAGTACAAACATGTGAAAAATATGTCAGTAAAGGGACTGTGAAAGCACACTTGTGTACAGTAGGTGAGCTGAAACGAGGGCAGAGCACTGCCTGGTTTAATCTCAGCTGGGAAGGTGTATGTCGGGCAACTCAAATTTTTCACTGCTCATTACATGTCTATAAAGGCCTGCAAAATTGCTGTGAGTATTGATTTGGGCATTACCCACAAATTTTGACATGTAGGCAAATTTGCATATACATAATTTGCAAATACTGAGAATCAACTATGTGTACACAAGGCTTCATAAAATTCCAGAGGATATATGAACTGCACCAAGTCCACTCATCATCCCTTTTAAAAAGCCCGATCTAGATCACCTCATTTTACAGATAGTTTCCTGAATATTGGGAGAATATTTGAACTCTAAAATAAGCAATAGTTTTGAATAAGAAAGAAAATGTCAACAAAATTCCTAAAACAAATGACCAATAAATACATATTAGTAAAATTGATCTGAAAGAAATTAAGTGGAGAAATCAATTTTACTTTCATATGAAAGCTCAGGTGATGCAAGATGCTTGCTTGGTACTGCATTAACTCTTTAGAATCACAAAATTACCTTCTATAAATTTCTATGTTTTAAATACTTTTGTGCTCTAAGACATAAGGTTCATAAATAACATCCAGGAGTAACATTCTTACTTACAGAAACTGAATGAGGTTCTGATTAATGGTTGATTTTGGTAATATCAGAGTGCAGAAACAACTAAATGCCCTTAACTTTGGTCTCTCAGACAATGTACCATTATACCAGTTAGCTCTACTCTCAATCAGAACATGTTTGCCATTAAGTTCCAGAAACCTGATCATGAGTGTGTACTGATGAAAGGCAATGTACAAAGCAAAGATGAAATTATTCACCCCACGGGGCTCCTATCTCAGTAGATAGAATAGAGTAGTAGAGTGCAAACATGGTAAAAAAAAAAAATTTCTTTTTAATTTCTCTTGGACCATGTGTCTCTTTTTTTTGCCCCATTTCCTCTTCTCTCTAGTCAAGTGTGCAAATACACACACACACAGACAATTCTTGCAATATTAGGAAACTCTGTGTCACCAACTTTACCTTCTGAATGCCTACCTATCCCTGAGCCCTAGCTATCTCTGTGAAGGCTTTTTTATCCCTTAGCAATGTGTCATATCTTCCCACTCTGACCATGTTAGTCTGCACATTATTCACTTTATTTTGTAAATATTTTTGTGCTTGCCTCAAGCCAAATATAGAATGGCAAGACCAAGCAAGGCAGGGCAAGTGCCTCATGCATTCTGATATAG
This sequence comes from Homo sapiens, assembly GCF_000001405.40. Lineage (NCBI taxonomy): Eukaryota > Metazoa > Chordata > Mammalia > Primates > Hominidae > Homo > Homo sapiens. The sequence continues at coordinate 149,662,671 of NC_000002.12, read as the reverse complement.
CTCAGAGGCCTAGTCTATCTTATTGCTGTATCTTAACTCCTAAGAAATGCCAATCATGGGCAAAATAGTTAATAGATATCTTTTGTATGACTGAATGAGTGAATGAACAAAAATGAGCAAATGGCATTGTATGGTTTTTCAGAAGACATAAACATGGCCAATTATGAAGACCAAATGTTCAGTCTGGTATGACTTGGCTACCTTTACATCATCCTAGAGTTTATTAATCAAATTTCAATTGAGGTGAACCTGAATTTATTCATTCAACTTGTACTTAGTCAATGTTCATTGAGCACCTGGTCTGGGCAAGATGCTATGCCAGGAGTCAGGATACAACACTGAACAAAACAGGTATCAGGGTCCCTGGTTAAAATGTGATGAAAATAGGTTTCAATCCGTAAGTGCCAATAAATTTAGAACCATGTTCTTTGGGCTATTCAAGATATAGTTTGATAAAACTGCCATGAAATAAGTATTATGAAATAAACTTATTTCATACTGGATTCCCCTCAAGCCTTATCTGTAAGGCACTATGAAATACAGTACATGCCAGAAGGGAAGTGGAAACACTCCACCTGAGAAATCATCTGTGCCATTCTTTCAGCCTGAGCACTGTTTATCTTGAAAACTTACTGCTCCTGGCCTTGCTCCAAGGCAAGCAATCCAATGATTCATGAGGATTTTCTCTTTGGGGATCAGTTTTAAGCAGCAATGGCAAACAGGCTGTCCCCGTAAAAACATGTCTTAAGGAAAGAAAATTCCATATTTTTCTTCTAATAGACAGAAGTCTCATAAATTTTGGAGTTAAGAAATTCCTATTTTCAAGTGGTATTGCCCCAGATTTCTTATGAATATAATGTCTGAGATGGAAAACACAGACCTGCTCTTTAAAACTAAGAAATTATTCTAAATCTAGATTTGGACTTATGCTTAAAACATAATTTGGGGGTGAACAGAGAAAAGGAGCATTAATATTCCCATACTGAAAGAGACTGAGCTAAATCAGGATAAATTATAATTCTGGCTTCACCAGTCTTCTTTCGTGGGAATTTTCACAACCCTTCTCTGCCCTTTGTCTTTTCCATGCAAATTGAATTGATCACTTGAGATACATGGTAAGACTCAAATGAATGAGCAGCTATGACCTGGTCTTCAACAAATTAACAAATTAAATGGACTGAATCTTTTTAAAGCAATGGTATCAGGGGTCACAGATAAAACATTAGGTACCCTTTCTTATAGTAAAATGAGAACAGCACTGTATTACCTACCATTCTAAACCAAAGTACCAGTCTAAACAACTCCATTTTATGCTAGTGTTAAACTTCTGTTATGCTAAAAAAAATTATATTAATTGTGAAACACAGTATAACAACAATCATTTTTAAAAGTTTGACTTCCTTATTTGACATCAAAAAAATTTTTCCTCAACTAGATTAATTACAACATTTTAAGAATAAATTTTTTGGTGTCATTTAGATTCTAAAACTGAGTAAAAATAAATAAATGAAATAACATTATGCTGAGTATTTACTGCTGTCAAATATAATTTTCTTATATATTAAAGATCACTATTCTTACATTTATCACTTGAATCAATGAATCTACAAATACATTTAGTCCGACAGGTCTTTAGAGATAAATATCACTCTATTTTTATTCATATTAATAATATATATATTCCAATTATAATATGTAGACCAGTTGACTCTTGAACAACATGGGTTTAAATGGCACAGATTTACTTACATATAGATTTTATTCTGGCTCTGCACCCCTGAGACAGCGAGACCAGCCCCTTTTCTTCCTCCTCCTCAGCCTACTCAACATGAAGATAACAAGGATGAAGACCTTTATGATGATCTACTTCCACTTAATAAATAGCAAATATATTTTCTCTTCCTTATGATTTTCTTAACATTTTCTTCTCTCCTTCTTATGCTATTATAAGACTACAGTATGTAATACATATAACATATAAACTATGTGTTAATTAACTGCTTATGTTATTGGTAAGGCTTCCATTCAACAGCAGTCTATTAGTAGTTAATGTTCTTGGAGAGTCAAAAGTTATGCATGGATTTTCCACTGCACTGGGGTTGGTGTCCCTAGAGTTGTTCAAGGGTCAGCTGTAGTATTACGCAGTTGTGGAAAATATTGGGAAAGAACAAATGTATATGACTAAGAAATTGGTAAATTATAAGGTATAACTGACAACTTTTAAGAATTCAAAGTATTACTACACATAAAAGAATCATTTCCAAGCTCAAGTGTGAAACAGTGAAACATCATAGAAGGTCTAAATTCATCTCAAACACTCACTTTATCTCAAACACTTTCCTAATATCCTAATATTCTCAAATCTCACCTAAGATTAATGAGTTTAACTTAAAGAAAAATAAAAGGCCAGAATGACATTTAATGCTTTTGATAGAAAGGGAAAGGAAAAAACAGAGGGAGTAAAACAAAATCTCCTAAATGAATATAGATGTTGAAATGGTCAAAAGAAAGCCAAGAATCACAGGTGAACATGCTTAAATCAATTGTCATTTATTTCTGTGGAGGACAGAACCAAAAAATGGGTCTGACTTAAATGGATGTTATTTATGAAGATTTTCCAGACTGTGAGATTAGCTAAACCCATTCAAAGTGGGGTTACAGAAGGCAGAGCTTTGCTAGAGAAAATTTAAAATTGGGTACTATCTCACTGGTATTAACTAACTTACGTGAATCTCCTTGTAGGGTGTGAAATTGATGAGATGGTCATTCAGGTTTTCCTTTGGCGTGGAAGCATATGGTAACATATTTTCAGATTCCATAGAAAGGCTAGTCATTCACCATCTTCAATAATGGACATACATAGGGAGTGGGAAACATATGCATTGAATGTCAGTTCTAAGACCTCCTTGATACTACTATGAAAATTATTTATTTAGGTTTTCCAGTGATTATCTTTTCTACTATTTTGCTTTCTATAAAAAGGGGAAGAGCTGCTATAAAGATCTGTGGGTTCACTTTCAATATTACATGGCTCAATTTTGGAACATTTAAGATAATTACTACTTTATGTGGCTAAAATATGCTCAAAGAATCTATTTTTGGTGATGTTTTTAAAAGTCATTCTTAATTCAATGGGACCCTGTTGTCTTGTATTTTTGACACCATTTCTACTATTATGGCAACTGGTCATCTTTTAATAATAATATTCACTAACTTCTTGCTTGAACTGATCACACTTTAGGGACGGATTATATGAAAGATTATTGTGCTCACTACCTAATGCTTATTCTTAGTAACATCCAATAATGTTTCAAGTGGCCTGTGTAAACCTTGCTCCATTTTTTAACTAACAATTTTGATGAAATATAGAAAACTGTCCCAGTGATTCATGTTACTCATTACTTTTATAAATTATTCAACAGAGAAATAAAGTGTTATTTCTCTATGAAGTATAATCTAAACTGAACTAAACATATCAAAATAAATGAATAGTTCATCCTTGATTTTTAATGTTTGTTCAATTGCTGCTTAATTAGAAAAAATGCTATTATTTAGACTACAGATCACTATCACTGTAAAATTCCACAAGACTCTACTATAAAACTATTATTAACTTTAGAACCAGTGATTACTTTCCTCAAGCCAACAATAATGAAGACTAAATTAGTATTTCAGTAAAATTGAAAGTTGGGCTACCCAAGATAAAACTTCAATGGGGGCACCAATAAATATGCAAATGGTTTCCAAATTTTCAGCATTTATTTAAATCCTTTCAGAACTACTATTATTTTACTTTGATAGTTATTTGAAAGCAAATAATAGAAATTCAATTTAGCTATATATAAATTCCAAAGAGAAGAAAATGTTTTAGTCATCATAATTTTGTGCAGACTATCTTAAAATCACATGAGTCATAGAACCCATCAAACTTCCAGAAATAGAGCCATAGAAAAGAATAGTATCAAAATAAATTAAATTCACTTTTATACAGCTTGATTCATTAGCTCAGTCATATCAGCATAACTTTTGCCTATTAAAACTCAACAAATTAATTTTTTTCAGTTTATCCCACAACTTTGTAATACTCAGCTTTTTTAATCTACATATGTGCAATGAGAAATTAGTAATGAACATATTTGTTGAGTGCTTAGCAAAATTACAAAGTGTCACCTTAATGATAACTGACCCCACTAAGAGGGCATCATAATCCCCCTTATTCATACACTTATCCATATTATTATAATCTAAGCCTAACAGAATGGTTGAGCTCTTCCTTCTTGAAGTCCAGTGCACATTGTACACAAGCATAAGAAGCTAGTATGGAATATACCAAGTGAAGGTTAAGACATACATGGAAAAGTCAAATGTAGTCAGCTCCATGTTCAGGAGCCATCTTTATAATGAATGCCCAGGACTGGTCCTTATAACTCTGAAACATGTTGTTCAGCTATAACACATTCTGCTGCACTCCAGGCAAAACCTAAAATTTTGGGCTTCATACACTTCCATTAATGTCAACTAGAAGCAGTTGTAAGCTATTGTTACATCTAGGACCAAAATAGCAGCAAAAATCAAACCAAGAAGATTTATTCAACCATCATCTAGCTGAAATACATGTTAACAACATATGAACAACCTGTAATTCTGTATGTAAGAGTCTACCCAAGGAATGATCCCCACCTCCAGAAGGTTTGGGTGTCATTGACTGAAAAAAAGCATAATTTCATTATTTCCCTTGTTTAGCATTTGTTTGTTGTTCCTCTGTCATGGAGGCAGCAAAAACAAATTATTTGGGGGAGCCAGTTTGGCTTCCATAGCAGCTGTACCAGTCAGATGCGTCATGATGCATGATGAGATTGCCAAATGTTCATTGTTTAAATGTGGCCCAATTTACTAGGGTCCAAGTTGTAATTAGGTTTCTTCTTTGAATTTTAAAAGGGAAAAAGTAAAGACACAAACTCCTAATACATGTAATTAAGACTAGCAGCCTTAACCTAGAAGGTTTTTAGAGACACTCTTACTGTCACTCTAAATATAGGTTCCCTGCTGAGAGCATAATTACAGTTTCTGTTGCACTTCATACTGTCTACCTCCTAGAGAGCTAACACTGTTTGTTATTAAGAGAAGACTCTGTCATATCAGTGTTCACCTCTGCATATAATGTCTCTCCTTGTTGCTGCTTATCTTTTACCTACTCTGTTGGTGTGAAGAGGGAAAAAAGGGCTAATAAACTATAGAGACTTGGTAAATTTTAACAAGTTGCAGTTAATGGGGTGATTTTCCCCCTCTCCTTCTACCAAAAGGAGGCCTGTCTCCTCAATTTGACACACTTGCATTCTAAACCCATTGCTTGCCTCTTCTTTATTGTGTCTATAAACCAGGCTGGAATGAAAAGCAAACTTACAGAATCCTAACTACCTAAGCTAGGATGGTGGGAAATTCCATTTCAAATTAAACAGCACCGTTTTAATCCATTAAACATTTCGACTACATTTATGTTTAACACAAAGGTGGTGGCCAAATCTTTTCCACTGATTGACAGCAAGTGCTTTGAGTAGGGCTCGGGTAGCAAAGTGCATTCAGTTTCCAAAACGATTCTATAAAACCGTAGTCCTTTTTTTAAAAGAAAGAACTTGACCTACAGGGAACATTTATCAGAGCTTTGATAACTACATATTTCCAGTCATTTAAATAGAATGGCAGCCAATGGATTTCTTTTTCCCCAGATTTACTATCTTCAGTATTAAAGTCACTATGCAGTATTGACAGTTTTTTTGAACCTGCTTTGCATATCTCACCAGTCTATGACATCTCATTATGTGTTGCAACCTGCTCTGACAAGTCTGCCTCAAAAAAAGACTGTTTTGTAGGGTGGGATTTTTTTTTACTATTATTTTTAATCTGTTAAAGCTATATATAAATCTATCTGCGAATGAAATACACAGTTGTTCATAAAACTTCAAGATTTAAAAAAAAAATCATAAATGAAAATCTTGGATCAGGGAGGATTTGTTAACATTGCTTTCTCCAAGGCACATTGAGATGTAACCATTCCTTTGAGAGAAATATAGTATTTCCAATGATGATCATGTACAGTTAAATTTGGGTTTTTATTTAATATCCTGAACAAAACCCTGACTATGCTTTTCAACCAGAAAGGTAAATCTCAACAATTTATTATAATTTCAGTAATTATATCAAATAATTACTGAAATATAATATAAACTATGGAAGATCCATAGAATGGAAGAATCAAAATGTAGTTGAAAGGAATGAAATAGGTTATAATATACTGATTTTAAAAATACCCAAGAAACAGTGGTAAGTGAAAAAGAAAATTACAGAATACATATGCAGCAAAATTTTTTTAAAAAATCATTCAAAAACCAAACTATTTACACATGCACAGTTATATATATTGATACATATATTTTTAAAAGCCTGGAAGGATACACACCACATTAATAATTTTGGGTTATATTTGGTAGAGGGAGTGAAATTGAGAGACTATATTAGTTTCCTATTGCCACTGTTGTAATTTGCCACAAACTTAGTGGCTTTAAAAAAAAAATGAATTTGGAATACTACGCAGCCATAAAAAAGAATGAAATCATGTCCTTTGCAGCAACGCAGGTGCCGCTGGAGGCCATAATCCTAAGCAAACTAATGCAGAAACAGAAAATGAAATACTGCATGTTCTCACTTATAAGTGGAAGCTAAATATTGGGTAACATGGACATTAAGACAAGACCAATAGATACTGGGGACTACTAGAAGGGGAGACAGGTAAGGGGGTGAGTGCAGAAAAACTACCTATTGGGTACTATGCTCACTATGTAGGTGGGTTCAATCATATCCCAAACCTGAGAATCACACAATACATTCATGTAACAAACCTGCACCCATGTGATACCCACTGATTCTAAAATAAAAGTTGAAAATGAAAAATCAAAACAAAACATGAATTGATTATCTTACACTTCTAGAGGATAGAAATCCAAAATCCAAAATCAGTCTCACTGAGCTAAAGTCATGGTGTTGGCAGAGATGATTCTTTCTGGGGCTCTAAGGCAGAATCCATTTCTTTGCCTTTTTCAGCTTCTAGAGGCTACCTTGCAGCCCCTTCCTTGCTTCACTCCCACCACCTGCTTCCATGGTCACAACTTCCACTTCTGACTTAGATCCTCCTGCCTCTTTTCAGAAGGACACTTGTCATTACCTTGAACCTGCCTGTATAATCCAACAGTATTTCTTCATCTCAAAATCTTTAACTCCCTTTATCAAGTAAAGTAACATCCACAAGACCCAGGGATTAGGATATGAACATCTTTAGGGAGGCCATTATTCAGCATATCACAGAGGACTTTAGCTCTCTTGAATAGTGCTTGAGTTGTATAATTGGAATGCATTTATATATTAATTATACAATTTACACAATTTAAAATAGAAAACAAAAAGATAGACTGGGTGCCGTGGTTCATGCCTGTAATCCCAGAACTTTGGGAGGCCGAGGTGGGCAGATCACTTGAGGTCAAGAGTTCAAGACCAGCCTGGCCAACATGGTGACACCCCATCTGTAATGAAAATGCAAAAGTTAGCTGGGCATGGTGGTGTGTGCCTGTAATCCCAGCTACTTGGGAGGCTGAGGCAGGAGAATCACTTGAATCCAGGAGACGGAGGTTGCAGTGAGCCAAGATTGCACCACTGCATTCCAGCCTGGGCAACACAGCAAAAGTCTAAAAAATAATCATGATAATAATAATAATCGTATTTCTCACTTTTGAAAATATTTGAGGTGGTCAGAAGAACAGAAAAAAGTGTTACTTTCTACAGAAATTTCATTTTTTTTTCCTGCCCCTTCAAGCTCCTATTCTCTCCATTCCCTCTCCTTATTTCCTGGTTCTGCATCTATATTACAAGATTCTATGCCTATACTAAAAGTTCATACCTCGTATCTTCCCCTAAAAGTATTACACAATATGGATCATGGCACAATTAGACCAAACTTAACTGCACATACATCTCTACCAACACCTTGACTTTAGCACATAGGATGAAGAATATATCTTAATGCATTAAATGAATGTTATTTGCACCCTTACTATATGCAAGCAAATGTGCAGAGCACTAGGAATATTGGTATTTAAACCCCTACCTATTGGAGAGTTCATAATCTATTGAAAAAGACCCACATGCAAACAAATTACCACAATGTCATATAATGTGGTATCACAGAAATGTGCACAATAGGCTACAGGAACTTGACAGAGAGAAAATATTTATATCTGAAGTGCCAGGTGATAATGGTGAAAGAGGTGATTCAAAAAGAATTCATGGGGGAGGGGCTGTCTGACCTGGGATTTCAAAAGATAAGGAATGGGTAGGAATGCAGCAGGAGCCAAGTACGGTTAGAGGGCTGAGGCAGAGGTAATGGCACAACCCAGCCAGAAACAGCCAGATTCAGGGCATGGCCAAAGATTGGCTGAATGTCTGCTTTATCTCCATTGACTAAAAATTAGGCTAAAAAATACCTAGAGGACAGATCATAAAGGCTCACATAAATTCTGCCATAAGGTTTTCACATTATCCCGCAGGTCCAGGAGAATTCTGGAAAGGCTAAAGTCAGGCTGTGATGTCGTCACATAGAAATTTAGCAGACAATCTGACAGCAGTGAGTGAGGTGGGTTGGAGGTGGGGAAGACTGGAGGCAGGCTGGCCATGAAGATGGTGTCACAGCAATCCAGGTGGGAGATGATGCTGGCCAGAGAGAAGACCCCTTCATGACACTCAGGTCTCAGGTCAAATCTTACTCCTTAGATTTCAGTGAGATCTCTATACCCCTTTGTCAGCCTATCCTCCCTATCTATTTCCCATCTCTATCACATTGCTAGTGTTATAGCTTTCAGAACAGTCATTACTACCATAAATTATTCCTTGTATGTCCCTACTTGTCTATTTTCTCCCTCCCCGGTAGGGAAAAAAAGCTCAATGAGGGAAGGGAGGTTGGCTAGCTTGCTTTCTCCTGTAATTCAAGTGCCTACAACAGTACCTGGCATGCAACTGGCATTCAGCAAGTATTTGGTGAACAAATGAATGAGTTATTCAAAGAATAACATGGTGCATTTGGTGGTGCTACTTCACATTATGATGTTAGCCCATGACTGAGATATCTGGGCTCTCACTAGCCCATAGTCATAGAATTATAAAATCAGCTGAGGCACCAATGAATAATCTATTCAGCAACTTCCTTGTATAGAGCAAGGTAGAAGAGTTCTACTGGAAGAGTTCAAGTTAGAATTCTCACTTGTGGTCCAGTATGTCCCCCAGTTATTCCAAACGGAAAAATCCCTGTTCCTTTGTCTTCTTTCCATGATTATAAAAATGCGATTTTAAATGTGAAGAATGTTTTTATTTTTGTAAGTTATTGGAGTGGAGGAAGAGCAAGGAGGAACTGGCACAGCTAAATTGCTATGAAGCCAGGACTGATGCAGACCTGATGATGTGTGGCTGATGAGGCTCTGGTGGCTGCTTACAAAATGAACATTGTCATCAGCACATTTGCCTCAACTCTGAGCATTCCGGGCTTGCTGGGGCCCTAGCTATTATGAGGCATACTACAGGCAAATGTGGTTAGGAGCTTCTTTTGAATAAAGCATGCCAAGGAGCATGAAGAGAAATGAAATGAAGTCAAAATGCACAGAAGAAAGAGATTGCAACCCTCCTCCCTGTTTCCCCTTCTGAACTAAAAATCCGTGCTATCTAAGATTTCTAGTTACATGTATAGTGTCTTTGTGCTTCAGATAGGATACACTCTGGTCTAGTGGAGTAAGTTGTTACATCCTGTGTATCATGAGGCTATAGAAAGAACTGCCTCCTGTAACTTTCCCAATAATGTTCCTGCCTCCTAAAGAATTTGCTCAAGAGGTAACATGAGCAAGTGGAAGAAAAATGAGCTTTGGAATCAGAACATCTTGATACTTGAAAAACTGATGATCTTGCACAAGCCACTAAGTCTTTCTAAACTTCCTTATCTGTAAAATAGAGATGATAACAACAATGTGTATTGGCTGAGAGAGCATATTTAAAAGCATCTGGAACCGAGTGGGTACGTAATAAATGTTCTTCCTTTCAGACCCTTGGTGATTCAGCTAACATTAAAAAGCTGTAGCTGAAGTACCTGGACGCACAGAAAGTTAATTTTACCAGGGCAGAAGAGGGGAAGGTAGGAAAAGTCAATGCTCATGAAACTCCCGGCGACCATTCTGCTGCTGCAGTTGCAACTCAAGGCTGGTGCTGGTAAGGAACAGGGGAGTTGGCCCAGCACCAACCACCCTCTCCCAAAGGAATTTTTTTTTAACAAGCTCTCATTGACTTTTCTACCTTTCCACACCAAATGCTATCCCAAAATAAATTAAAGGGGTCAAATTTCAGAAAAAAAATGATGAGGACAAAATAGTGGATTTAACAGGATCATTAGATACTTTGTGGAGCAGGATTTTTCTTTTTAGGGACACTTTGACATGTCTTCACTCAAAAACAGTGAAAATTTCCCATATGACTAATATAATTTTCTTTACTATGTGTTTTTAATTTCACTATTTACTTTTTTGTTAAAATATAATCACAAATTTAACAGGCAAAGAAGTTAGCAATTAGGGAGGAGTGAAAGAAGCAAGTTACAATTGAATACCTGAGCACAAGCATCTTATTTTGCAAAAATATCTCTACAGACTAGGCTGATAGGTTTGCCTGACAATTTATTCCATTACCAAAGCCAAATTCTCCATCCCAATATAGATACATAAAAGTTAAATACTTATTTAATCATAGATGTTTTTGCTAGGTTCACTCAGTTTATCTTAAGTAAGAAGTGGAGTTATTTTAGAATAAAAAGAAAAAATGAGGAATGGCAAATCTCATAGAATACAAGAAGAGTGTGTAGGAGATTGGTCAGGGTGGTGGCAAAAGTTATAAGGAAAAATGCAAACCTTCTTGGAAGGCCCGGAGGTTTTGCAAAGCTTCAGGAGAGAATAAAAGCTGAAGGCAGTTAATTCTATTACCCTGAAGCAGAGGGCAAGAAGTAGGTGCAAGCAAACGTAAGGGAGTTTATCTAGATAAGTTTATTTACTTATGTTGTCTGGAAAACAACCTTTGATCATCTGCATGCAAGACTGCTCCCTGCAAGCGGGGAGGACAATGTTAATTATCCACAGGTTGTGTTGGCTTCAGGCCTTTGTCATTAAAGCTGTACTAAATAAGTACAAACAGCTCCGGCTTATCGGGGCTGCACTCTAGTTGGCAGTGCTTGGCAGTGCTAGGCCATGCAGTCCCCTAGCCGCACTCTCAGGCAAAATACCTGTGTCTGTGTACTTCTTTCACCTGTTGCTCAGCCAGAGTCTGCAGGACAGACTCGGCAAGAGTGTACTAGCATGAGGCCTTGTAGAGACTAGAGTTCTAGAGCAATGGCATTTCTCAAAACCTTAGCAGGGAAAGTCCACAAAGTTCTTATCTACCATTGAAGGGATTTGCCTGTCCCACGAGTGCTCATCTGCTCCATTCTCCAGACCACACACACTGAAGTCCTCACCACAAAAGCACAGGTTTTCTCTCTGCCTCGTATTCCTGCTCACTGATAGTTTCTGCTTCCTCATAGTCTCAGCTTCTTAAAGACCCGCTTTAACCTTCAGGGCCACTTCACCTCTGACCTCTCTCCATTGGAAAAGTCAAATAACACATCTACTGTCACACAAACAATGCGTGGTAGGGCTAGGATTAGAATCCTGACAGTCAGCCACAAGCCAGTGCCTGACATGTGGTTAATAATTGAATTTGATAGGAACCCAGTAGCCGCTTGTAGTTGGCTTTCTCAAGACCTCAAATTTCTAGATATTCTTTATTCCCTTTATTTATACTGGAGATTTGCCAATTTTCTCCTGAATTCATCTATATCTCACAATACAATACTAAACATAAAAACTAAAACTTAATATATACTATTATTCTGGCATTTCTCATCACTCCAAGTTATAGCCTCAGTAGGTTCGATGGGGTCTTATTTTCAGATTATGGAAAGGAATAGATTTTCCAAATGTTTTGAAGCTACATAATGTGGATCTTCATTTTCCAGGCTTGATATCAATTCTTTTGCCATCCCCACTGCTGAAATACATTTTAGTTTAGTTTATTTTGGTTTTGTTTTGCAGCACTCCACTTCCAATAACAATTTCAGGCATTAAAATAGTATCAATTGACATAACAAACCTAAAAGTATACAATGGCTCACACATATTAAAAGTTTTCTTTTTTCTCACAGGAAGTCCAAAATCAGTATTCTTTATCAGCAGGAGCCTCTCCTCTAAGCAGTGATTTAGCATCATAGGCTCCACCCATCTTGTGGCTCCATGGTCTTCACCTTTGGCCCAAGCTCGTCATGCTTGTCTGCAGATGACCAAGAGGGAGTGGGTAAGAATGTTCTATGAGTGAGAACAACTTTGTGAGACAGCTGTGTCTGCTTTAGAGCATGACAACTATTAGCCAATTATTCAATCTTATTATTAAAGTAACTACCCAGTCACTTCATTCCCATGCCACTCAACTATAAAGTAGCTAAGCCATGATGACATCTTAGGGCTTGGTTTTGGGACACTTTTCATCCAGCCCCTGTTGAAGGAAAAATGAACACCATCCTGCCTTCTCTTACAAGCCCAGCCAGATGCATCCTGCTCTTCTAGAAAATCATTTTTGGTGAACACTATCCCATGATGATTCCCCTCCAATTCTGTGTTCCTTTAGTATAAAATGCATTTCACTAGCATGTACTTATTTTTTATACTTTATGGAAGACATTGGCAAGCTTTGTCTTTTCCATAAAGGGCCAGATAGTAAACATTTTAGGCTTTGTGGGACATACAATCTCTGTTCCAACTACTTAAGTTTGACAAAGCAGATATAGATAATATGTAAATGAATGAGAATGGTTGTGTTCCAATAAAACTTTAGGTGACAAGACAGATTTGGCCCACAGGCTGTAGTTTGCTGACATCTGCTCTACTAGTAAAAAAGGTATTCTAGGGTTTGCTTATTGTTGTTGTTGTTGGTGGTGGTGGTGGTGGTGGTGGTGGTGGTGTTTTCTTTGGTTTAACCCTTTGCAATGCAGAGTAAAGCTTATCTCAATAAATGCACAGATTCTAAGTGTGGGGATGTAGACCCATCTCCCACTCTGGCAACATCCCTGCTTTAAGTCAGGGAAGCAATACTTCTACTTCCTAGTGAAGTGATAGGGAAGATGTTTCTGTCAGAAAAAGAGATATCTGTCAGTGTCACAAAGTTACTCACTCTAAAACCCACATGTACAAAGAAAATCTACATCATTATTTGGGTTACAACTGCCTGGATCATCTTCTTAAAGCCTGTTAGTAACAGGAAGAAGTTAACATTTAGTTCAATCCAATAACCTTATGATATTTTAAGCACTTTTTAAAAATAAAGTGTAATCTCTTTAGGTAGAAAGCACTTCGTTGATTAGATTCCTAGCCTCCTACCCCAGTTTCGCACCAAGATTGCTATCTAAAGCTTTAGGGCTTTAGGGATAAAGAAGTCCTCATATCCATACAGTGTCCTCTATGTCCCCTGGTCTCTTCAGCAATGTTGCTTGTCTTCTCAGTTGCTATTCATCTTGCTGGAATTCACAGATAATGGGAGGCTCCGGTGAAGAGCTGGTTTTTCTCCGCCCAGTGGTTTGAAACCAGCTGTTCAGCCTCATCTCTGATTCAGCCTCATCTCAGCTTTCCATGACACTACACATCCCTCTAAATGTCTCCACAGTTTCCATCCAGTTCCAAGGCCTGGGTTGTCAGCTCTCAGCTCTGCTGAAGGGTGACTCACTCCTTGTGACTCTGGTTAGTGTGTCTGCTGATATTCAACTTATCTGCCTTTCATATCCTCTCCACTCAGGGCCACACAGGAATCCGGTTTGCACAACCACACAATACACAGAAATGCAATGTCTTAGGAAAGCTGTACTCCAGCAGTCCCTCAGCTTATCCATGCTGCCCCATTGAGTTTATTGGGTGAGAGAGGAACCTGCTAGGAAGCTGAATCCCATGATTTCTCCTGTTTGGTTCTAACAGTGGAGGAAAAAAATGATCCTGACATCTACTTTCCTCTACCTCTCTGTGACTCACTCCTCTCTCCCTGTCCTTCCATTATATCTGCCTTCTACAATGGGTCTGAAGTTTTTGTTGTTGTTCTTGTATCTCTGCCAGGTTTTGGTATCAGGATGATGCTGGCCTCTTAAAATGAGTTAGTGAGGAGTCCTTCCTTTTCAATTGTTTGGAATAGTTTCAGAAGAAAGGGTATCAGCTCCTCCTTGTACCTCTGGTAGAATTCAGCTGTAAATCCGTCTGGTCCTGGGCTTTTTTTGTTGGTAGGCTATTTATTACTGCCTCAATTTCAGAACTTGTTATTGACCTATTCAGGGATTCAGCCTCTTCCTGGTTCCATCTTGGGAAGGTGTATGTATCCAGGAATTTATCCATTTCTTCTAGATTTTCTAGTTCATTTGCATAGAGGTATTTATAGTATTCCCTGGTGGTTGTTTGTATTTCTGTGGGATCAGTGATGCTATCCTCTATATCATTTTTCATTTCATGAATGAGATCCATGGATAGTGCCAACCGCCTAGTCAGGCCCAATGAGAGAACATGGGTACCTCAGTTGAAGATGCAGAGTTCACTTGCCATTTTCATTCTTTTCAGTGGAAGCCACAGACTTGAGCTGTTTCTATTCGGCCATTTTGGCTGCTTCCCCTGTTTCTTCTCCTTTTTTCCCCCTTTTAGGAGACTGGGTCTTGCTATGTTGTCCAGACTATAGTGCAATGGCTACTCACAGGTATGATCATAGTGTACTACAACCCTGAACTCCTGGGCTCAAGCAATCCTCCTGCCTCAGCTTCCCAAGTAGCTGGGACTGTGCCTGACTAATGCTAAAATTTTAAATAACTTCTAATTCTTTATGACTATTGCTTTGCTAAACACATCAAGTACCAGCTCCTCCTGCCCTGCTTGTGATGTTAAGCTTCCTGTATCCTTGTGAGGAAAAAGGCTGATAGGAAACATGACTTTCTGGATGATGAAGTGATTCATTCAACTTCCAGTCTAAAAACATTGGGTGTTGGAAAACTAAAATCTACATTTCCCAGAACCCTTGCAGGTAGGTTCTGGATGAGATCTGGCCTCTGCCTATCAAATGTGCTGACACAAAATTTTGGTTCACACTGACCTGCCTGGGGAGAGAGGCAGAGTGCAAGGCATTCATTTTTCCAGCAAGAACCATGGAAAGGAAAGTATGTTCTAGAGCTGACAGTTATAGAAGTAGCTCTCTGATTTGGTAACTTCTTCATGGTAAATTATAAGAGGTAATAAGGTTCTGGAGTTGGCAGCTGCAACTTCCTAATCAAGCAGGGGAATCAGCTCCCTGGGCAGTCTAGGGACTTTTGAAATCATACCTGGAAGTTGTTTCACTCTTCCCCAAAATTCTTTAAGCTGTCTTCACACTCAATAAATCCTTTGTGCTTAAACTAGTTAGACTAAAAATTCATTTTCTGTGGCTAAAAATCCTTATTAGTATAAGTGTGTGTGAATGATGTGGGGCTAATGTCAAATACTTCAATTTGATTTGGAAAGTATTGCCCCATCATGTCTACTTTGTGAGGCCAGTGTGAGCTTAGCATGCACTGGGTGGTTGGTGTTTCTCTTCTGGGTGAGATTAGGAGGAAAATATCATTCTTGTTTGTTTGTTTGGTTTCGTTTTTGAGATGGAGTCTCGCTCTGTCACCCAGGCTGGAGTGCAGTGGGCGATCTCGGCCCACTCAAGCTCCGCCTCCCAGGTTCACGCCATTCTCCTGCCTCAGCCTCTGGAGTAGCTGGGACTACAAGTGCCTGCCACCACGCCTAGCTAATTTTTTTTTTTTTTTTTTTTTTTTTGTATTTTTAGTAGAGACAGGGTTTTACTGTGTTAGCCAGGATAGTCTCAATCTCCTGACCTCGTGATCCACCCGCCTTGGCCTCCCAAAGTGCTGGGATTACAGGTGTGAGCCACCACGTCTCTAAGTACAGCATAATTTATTTTTTCTGTATTTTTCTTCCACCTGTCTGTATTCAAGTTTTACAGACTTTGCACTTACACTTTTCACATAGGGCCTCCTCACCTCATCAAAAACTTGTTTTGGCTTTATTTCTGGGGCAGTCACAGGAGTAGGGAGTAAGTCTAAAGGAATGGTTCTTGAGGTCTCCATTCAGAGAGAGAAGTCGAAAGCCCTTCAGTGCCCTCTATCTGGACACTATCAAAGACTTCTGAATAAAGCCGATATTTTATTTCCATTTGGCTCCTTGTGATTTTCCTCTATGATTTAGAAATCTGTAGGGTAGAGGGCTGAGGTGATTGGTGTCCACACACTTCCATCACTCAAACTGGAAGTCACCTTAGAGAGCATGTATTTCAACATGTCTTCATGTCGATGAAGCACTGATGTCCAAAGTTATAGAGCCAATAAGTGAAAGAGCTCAACCCAAAACTCAAATCTGTAAACTCTGAGGCCATTGTTATTTTTACCACACCAGCTAGAGATAGGTGAATGAACATATGAGACTAGTTCTAGCAAGTGGATTGAACTGTCTAGCTAGTTCTCCATCCAGCCCCCTTTACTTACTTATATATTCTACCTGACCCCTATAAGTACTTGGGTTAGTGAGTCTTGATTTAAAAGAATCCTACATAAAATATTCTAGTGAATAAACACTCTTATGGTAAAGCAAATCACTCCTTCTTTATATGTACATTTTGTAGATGATACTCTGAAAAACAGAGCCCACTTAGAAAGAGATTTGGAACAATATAGAAGGGGTCTGAAAATATTTTTAACATAATCTTGTATTTTTAGCTATCCCAGCTTATAGTTTAAAATATGCTGAGTTTGTCCTTATGGATAGTCCATAACAGAGGATCTCCAGGACTGAAAAACTTTTCCTACTGCACTAGGCCAGTAATGCCCCCCACTGGCAGAACATGCTTTGTCTTCCATCTGGAATTGCACTCCAGTTTTGTCATCCCCAAAGGCACCATTCTGACACATCTCATTAATTTTTACAGGGTCTTGACCTGTAAGAATAAATGGTCTATGCTTCAATGTCTAAGTATGCACATAAAGAGAGTAGAAGTTTAACTTAAGTGCTATATAGGTAATCTTGGGTCCAAGAAAAAAATGGATGTTGAAAGATATAAATGTCCTGTGGTGGTTATTTATTAAGCTTCCAACCAAATACAGTATAGCCTAAGATAACCCAAATCTATGTGGAAGAAAAGTATTAAAAAACTACCAAGTATTATTACTAGTTTCTTATGAAAAGTGTCATTATTTTAGCCCTTTTCATGTTGGTGTAGTCCTCATTTATTCTAAGTGGATCCATCTGTGGATAAGAAGCTCAAAGGGAAAGTGGTTAAATAATTCAAAATCCTCTCCCCAGTAAGAACATCAAATCCTAAAAAATTCCAAAATTCAGTATACAATAAAGTTAGTTGTATAGCCATAATTTTTCAGGAGGAAAAAATATAGCAAAACCACAATTACTTATGTGAATAATGGACACCAAAATTGAAAAAGAAAATCCAGATATATTAATAAATTAGATCCTAGCTCCAAAATACTTTTTTCAAATAACTTTTTTTTAACAGAACTCTAACAATTAACCAGACCAGTTAGCACTTCACTACCTACTTATACCCTCCCAGAATTTTATTCCTGGTAGGAGTGATCAAGGAAAAATGTGAAATAACAAAAGCTAACATTTATTAAGTTCTTAATAAATGCCAGTGCCCTTATTATCTAATTTAATACTCATTAAGAGCTATTATTACATTCATTTTACAGATGATGGAAGAAAATTAGGGGCAGTTTAAATGAATTGTCCAAGGGCACTCAGCTATAGTAAGCGGTGAACATAGTCTATCTTCTTCAGAGCTCATACTTGGAACCAGGATCCTTGACTGCCATGCTAGGAAGCAACTTCATTCTATGGTATTCTTCTAGAGCAACAGCTATTTTAAGAAAAACTCTGGTTGTTGGATGATTAAGGTTTATCAGAAAAGACTTAATGACATTTGAGTGATTTTTCACAGATAAATTCCCAATAAGCATGCAAAATTCTTATTGTATATCTTCACTGAGAAAGGTACCTAATAAGAGGCCACAGGAGTGGAAGATGTTAGGAAAAGAGCTAGACAGGCCTCACTCCTCACATGTTCAATATATTATTCATGAACCTCTAGAGGAACAAAGTAATAAAAAAGAAAGTGGGTATTTTTCTCTCATAAAAATAGTTATTCTCTTAAGTTATTCACTTCTACATTTTACTTGAAAATAATGAATAAATAAGTATCAGTAAACAGACACATTGGAGTCCACCTAGACATAAGTATATTTCCTCTTATAGGTGAAACTGTCATAAGACAGATCATTAGTCATAAAAACATGTTGACTATAAAACAACTACTTCCACATCAACTGGTACTCAGCAGAATAAATACATGTCCACCAAATCAGTCTTCCTCAGCGTGGGAGGACAGAAAGCCAGAAGTGAAATAAAAGAAGTAAAGAAGTGATGATGAGGGAAGAAAGAACATGTAGATGGCCGAATAGGAACAGCTCCAGTCTACAGCTCCCAGCGTGAGTGACTCAGAAGATGAATGATTTCTGCATTTCCAACTGAGGTACCGGGTTCATCACACTGGGGATTGTCGGACAGTGGGTGCAAGACAGTGGGTGCAGTGCACTGAGCATGAGCCGAAGCAGGGCAAGGCATCACCTCACCCAGGAAGCGCAAGGGGTCAGGGAATTCCCTTTCCTAGCCAAGGAAAGGGGTGACAGACAGCACCTGGAAAATCGGGTCACTCCCACCCTAATACTGTGCTTTTCCAATGGTCCTAGCAAACAGCAAACTAGAAGATTGTATCCCACCTGGCTCGGAGGGTCCTACGCCCATGGAGCCTCGCTCATTGCTAGCACAGCAGTCTGAGATCAAACTGCAAGGCAGCAGCAAGGCTGGGGGAGGGGAGCCCACCATTGTAGGTAAACAAAGCAGCCAGGAAGCTCGAACTGGGTGGAGCCCACTGCAGCTCAAGGCCTGCCTGTCTCTGTAGACTCCACCTCTGGGGGCAGGGCATAGCCCAACAAAAGGCAGCAGAAACCTCTGCAGACTTAAATGTCCCTGTCTGACAGCTTTGAAGAGAGTAGTGGTTCTCCCAGCACACAGCTTGAGATCTGAGAACAGACAGACTGCCTCCTCAAGTGGGTCCCTGACCCCTGAGTAGCCTAACTGGGAGGCACCCCCGAGTAGGGGCAGACTGACACCTCACACGGCCGGGTACTCCTCTGAGACAAAACTTCCACAGGAACGATCAGACAGCAACATTTGCTTTTCACTAATATCCGCTGTTCTGCAGCCTCTGCTGCTGATACCCAGGCAAAAAGGGTCTGGAGTGGACCTCCAGAAAACTCCAATAGACCTGCAGCTGAGGGTCCTGACTGTTAGAAGGAAAACAAACAGAAAGGACATCCACACTAAAACCCCATCTGTACGTCACCATCATCAAAGACCAAAGGTAGACAAAACCACAAAGATGGGGAAAAAACATAGCAGAAAAACTGAAAATTCTAAAAATCAGAGCACCTCTCCTCCTCCAAAGGAATGCAGCTCCTCACCAGCAATGGAACAAAGCTGGACAGAGAATGACTTTGACGAGTTGAAAGAAGAAGGCTTCAGACGATCAAACTACTCTGAGCTAAAGGAGGAAGTTCGAACCCATGGCAAAGAAGTTAAAAACATTGAAAAAAGATTAGATGAATGGCTAACTAGAATAACCCATGCAGAGAAGTCATTAAAGGACCTGATGGAGCTGAAAACCATGGCACAAGAACAACGTGACGAATACACAAGCCTCAGTTGCCACTTCGATCAACTGGAAGAAAGGGTATCAGTGATGGAAGATGAAATGAATGAAATGAAGCAAGAAGAGAAGTTAAGAGAAAAAAGGATAGAAAGAAACGAACAAAGCCTCCAAGAAACATGGGACTATGTGAAAAGACCAAATCTACATCTGACTGGTGTACTTGAAAGTGACGGGGAGAATGGAACCAAGTTGGAAAACACTCTGCAGGATATTATCCAGGAGAACTTCCCCAATCTAGCAAGGCAGGCCAACATTCAGATTCAGGAAATACAGAGAACACCACAAAGATACTCCTTGAGAAGAGCAACTCCAAGACACATAATTGTCAGATTCACCAAAGTTGAAATGAAGGAAAAAATGTTAAGAGCAGCCAGAGAGAAAGGTCGGGTTACCCACAAAGGGAAGCCCATCAGACTAACAGCTGATCTCTTGGCAGAAACTCTAAAAGCCAGAAGATAGTGGGGGCCAATATTCAATATTATTAGAGAAAAGAATTTTCAACCCAGAATTTCATATCCAGCCAAACTAAGCTTCATAAGTGAAGGAGAAATAAAATACTTTACACACAAGCAAATGCTGAGAGATTTTGTCACCACCAGGCCTGCCTTAAAAGAGCTCCTGAAGGAAGCACTAAACATGGAAAGGAACAACTGGTACCAGCCACTGCAAAAACATGCCAAATTGTAAAGACCATCGAGGCTAGGAGGAAACTGCATCAACTGACGAGCAAAATAACCAGCTAACATAATAATGACAGGATCAAATTCATACATAACAATGTTAACCTTAAATGTAAACGGGCTAAATGCTCCAATTAAAAGACATAGACTGGCAAATTGGATAAAGATTCTAGACCCATCAGTGCGCTGTATTCAGAAAACCCATCTCACATGCAGAGACACACATAGGCTCAAAAATAAAAGGAGAGAGGAAGATCTACCAAGCAAATGGAAAACAAAAAAAGGCAGGGGTTGCAATCCTAGTCTCTGATAAAACAGACTTTAAACCAACAAAGATCAAAAGAGACAAAGAAGGCCATTACATAATGGTAAAGGGATCAATTCAACAAGAAGAGCTAACTACCCTAAATATATATGCATGCAATACAGGAGCACCCAGATTCATAAAGCAAGTCCTTAGAGACCTACAAAGAGACTTAGACTCCCACACAATAATAATGGCAGACTTTGACACCCCACTGCCAAAGTTAGACAGATCAACGAGACAGAAAGTTAACAAGGATATCCAGGAATTGAACTCAGCTCTGCACCAAGCAGACCTAATAGACATCTACAGAACTCTCCACCCCAAATCCACAAAATATACATTCTTTTCAGCACCACACCACACCTATTCCAAAATTGACCACATACTTGGAAGTAAAGCTCTCCTCAGCAAATGTAAAAGAACAAAAATTATAACAAACTGTCTCTCAGACCACAGTGCAATCAAACAAGAACTCAGGATTAAGAAACTCACTCAAAACCACTCAACTACATGGAAACTGAACAACCTGCTCCTGAATGACTACTGGGTACATGACGAAATGAAGGCAGAAATAAAGATGTTCTTTGAAACCAAAGAGAACAAAGACACAACATACCAGAATCTCTGGGACACATTCAAAGCAGTGTGTAGAGGGAAATTTATAGCATTAAATGCCCACAAGAGAAAGCAGGAAAGATCTAAATTGACACCCTAACATCACAATTAAAAGAACAAGAGAAGCAAGAGCAAACACATTCAAAAGCTAGCAGAAGGCAAGAAATAACTAAGATCAGAGTAGAACAGAAGGAAATAGAGACACAAAAAACCCTTTAAAAAAAATCAGTGAATTGAGGAACCGTTTTTTTGAAAGATCAACAAAATTGATAGACCACTAGCAAGACTAATAAAGAAGAAAAGAGAGAAGAATCAAATAGATGCAATAAAAAATGACAGAGGGGTATCACCACTGATCCCACAGAAATACAAACTACCATCAGAAAATACTATAAACACCTCTACACGAATAAACTAGAAAATCTAGAAGAAATGGATAAATTCCTCAACACATACACCCTTCCCAAGACTAAACCAGGAAGAAGTTGAATCTCTGAATAGACCAATAACAGGCTCCAAAACTGAGGCAATAATTAATAGCTTACCAACCAAAAACAGCCCAGGACCAGACGGATTCACAGCCAAATTCTACAAGAGGTAAAAGGAGGAGCTGGTACCATTCCTTCTGAAACTATTCCAATCAATAGAAAAAGAGGGAATCCTCCCTAACTCATTTTATGAGGCCAGCATCATCCTGATACCAAAGCCGGGCAGAGAAACAACAAAAAAAAAGATTTTTAGACCAATATCCCTGATGAACATCAATGCAAAAATCCTCAATAAAATATTGGCAAACCAAATCCAGCAGCACATCAAAAAGCTTATCCACCACGATCAAGTGGGCTTCATCCCTGGGATGCAAGGCTGGTTCAACATACGAAAATCAATAAACATAATCCAGCATATAAATAGAACCAACGACAAAAACCAGATGATTATCTCAATAGATGCAGAAAAGGCCTTTGACAAAATTCAACAACGCTTCATGCTAAAAACTCTCAATAAATTAGCTGTTGATGGGATGTATCTCAAAATAATAAGAGCTATCTATGACAAACCCACAGCCAATATCGTACTGAATGGGCAAAAACTGGAAGCATTCCCTTTGGAAACTGGCACAAGACAGGGATGCCCTCTCTCACCACTCCTATTCAACATAGTGTTGGAAGTTCTGGCCAGGGCAATCAGGCAGCAGAAGGAAATAAAGGGTATTCAATTAGGAAAAGAGGAAGTCAAATTGTCCCTGTTTGCAGATGACATGATTGTATATCTAGAAAACCCCACTGTCTCAGCCCAAAATCTCCTTAAGCTGATAAGCAACTTCAGCAAAGTCTCAGGATACAAAATCAATGTGCAAAAATCACAAGCATTCTTATACACCAATAACAGACAAACAACCAAATCATGAGTGAACTCCCATTCACAGTTGCTTCAAAGAGAATAAAATACCTAGGAATCCAACTTACAAGGGATGTGAAGGACCTCTTCAAGGAGAACTACAAACCACTGCTCAATGAAATAAAAGAGGATACACACAAATGGAAGACAATTCCATGCTCATGGGTAGGAAGAATCAATATCATGAAAATGGCCATACTGCCCAAGGTAATTTACAGATTCAAGGCCATCCCCATCAAGCTACTAATGACTTTCTTCACAGAATTAGAAAAATCTACTTTAAAGTTTATATGGGTCCAAAAAAGAGCCTGCATTGCCAAGTCAATCCTAAGCCAAAAGAACAAAGCTCGAGGCATCACGCTACCTGACTTCAAATTATACTACAAGGCTACAGTAACCATAACAGCATGGTACTGGTACCAAAACAGAGATATAGATCAATGGAACAGAACAGAGCCCTAAGAAATAATACTACACATCTACAACTATCTTATCTTTGACAAACCTGACAAAAACAAGAAATGGGGAAACAATTCCCTATTTAATAAATGGTGCTGGGAAAACTGGCTAGGCATATGAAGAAAGCTGAAACTGGATCCCTTCCTTACACCTTATACAAAAATTAATTCAAGATGGATTAAAGACTTAAATGTTAGACCTAAAACCATCAAAACCCTAGAAGAAAACCTAGGCAATACCATTCAGGATATAGGCATGGGCAAGGACTTCATGTCTAAAACACCAAAAGCAATGGCAACAAAAGCCAAAATTGACAAATGGGATCTAATTAAACTAAAGAGCTTCTGCACAGCAAAAGAAACTACCATCAGAGTGAACAGGCAACCTACAAAATGGGAGACAATTTTTGCAATCTCCTCATCTGACAAAGGGCTAATATCCAAAATCTACAATGAACTCAAACAAATTTACAAGAAAAAAACAAACAACCCCATCAACAAGTAGGTGAAGGATATGAACAGTCACTTCTCAAAAGAAGATATTTATGCAGCCAAAAGACACATGAAAAAATGCTCATCATCACTGGCCAGAGAAATGCAAATCAAAACCACAATGAGATACTATCTCACACCAGTTAGAATTGCGATCATTGAAAAGTCAGGAAACAACAGGCACTGGAGAGGATGTGGAGAAATAGGAACACTTTTACACTGTTGGTGGGACTGTAAACTAGTTCAACCATTGTGGAAGTCAGTGTGGCGATTCCTCAGGGATCTAGAACTAGAAATACCATTTGACCCAGCAATCCCATTACTGGGTATATACCCAAAGGATTATAAATCATGCAGCTATAAAGACACATGCACATGTATGTTTATTGTGGCACTATTCACAATAGCAAAGACTTGGAACCATGCCAAATGTCCAACGATAGACTGGATTAAGAAAATGTGGCACATATACACCATGGAATACTATGCAGCCATAAAAAAGGATGAGTTCATGTCCTTTGTAGGGACATGGATGAAGCTGGAAACCATCATTCTCAGCAAACTATGGCAAGGACAAAAAACCAAACACCGCATGTTCTCGCTCATAGGTGGGAATTGAACAATGAGAACACATGGACACAGGAAGGGGAACATCACACACCGGGGCCTGTTGTGGGGTGGGGGGAGGGGTGAGGGATAGCATTAGGAGATATACCTAATGTTAAATGACAAGTTAATGGGTGCAGCACACCAACATGGCACATGTATACATATGTAACAAACCTGCACGCTGTGCACATGTACCCTAGAACTTAAAGCATAATTAAAAAAAAAAAAGAAAAAAGAAGAAGTGATGGTGAAGATTGGACAACCATGTAGCCACTAATCTGGGCAGAAGCACTGACAATGGCCTTGTCAGGGCTGCCAATCTTTCATAAAATTTAATAAAGCTCATGGCACTTTCAGCCTGAAATCTGCCAAAGTCTAGGAATCTCACCTGACTGAAAAATAACAGTAATTAGATCAGAGTCATTTCCTGAAATTCCCCTTGTTGATTCCTAATACAGAGGTTCTCACCATAAAAAAGAAGGATAAAACAAAGTCAAATAAAGTTTCTAATTCAATTCTGCTTCAAACAATAATTAGCTCATAGAATTAGTCATCAGTTCAAGTATAATTAAGTGTCTACTGTAATGGGAAATGGTGTAGTTTGTCAGAAAGAAAAGAACATGGCCTGTGGAATTAAACCTGCATTCAAATTCTCATGCCACTACTGAATACATGAATTTATTTAATTAACAAACTATCTGGGTCTCAATTTGTATATCTGCAAAATGGTAAGAACTTCATATGTTTTGTGAAACATTAAATGAGAAAATGCATATACAAGATGAAGTTCAGTCCAAGGCACATACTAGATTCCTTGGTAAATAAAAGCTCCTATACTGGTATCAGATGTACGGCATTATGTTAGCAGTGTGGGGGTTAATGAATGAATAAGATCTGGTCCCTGCCTTAAGGGGCTTACAGTCCAGGTTAGGAAACAAAGCTAGCAGGTATGAAAATGTAACTATTAATAATCACAGCAATATTTGGAAGGAGAAATCAATTGTTGTGGGGTAGAATCATTAAAGAGGATTTATGGTGGAAACACATTGACTGGTCTCAGAGCTAAGGAAAATCAAGGATCTGAGAACTCAACACTCAGCCCTCATGTTTAAACAAGTTTTTAGAGGTAGTGCTGACTCCATCTTCAATATAAAAGACTCAGTGAATAAGAGAACAATGTTCAATGCAACAGAATTCTACAAATGACAATTTCTAAATCTTTGCTATTAAAGCATGGTTCATAGACCAGTTGCATGGTGTCTCAGAGTTTATTGGATATGCAGAATCTCAGATCCCCCCCCAGACCTATTGACTCAGGTCTATATTTTAACAAGATCCTGGGATGACATGTGAACATTAAAGTTTAAAAAACAACCCCATCAAAAAGTGGGCAAAGGATATGAACAGACACTTCTCAAAAGCAGACATTTATGCAGCCAACAAATATAATGAAAAAAAGCTCATCATCACTGGTCATTAGAGAAATGCAAATCAAATCCACAGTGAGATAACATCTCATGCCAGTTAGAATGGCTATCATTAAAAAGTCAGGGAACAACAGATGCTGGAGAGGATGTGAAGAAATAGGAATGCTTTTACACTGTTGGTGGGAGTGTAAATTAGTTCAACCATTGTGGAAGACAGTGTGGTAATTCCTCAAGGATCTAGAACCAGAAATACCATTTGATCCAGCAATCCCATTACTGGGTATATACCCAAAGGATTATAAATAATTCTACACTAAAGACACATGCACATGTATGTTTATTGTGGCACTATTCACGATAGCAAAGACTTGGAACCGACTCAAATGTCCATCAATGATAGACTGGATTAAGAAAATGTGGCACATATACACCATGGAATACTATACAGCCATAAAAAAGGATGAGTTCATATCCTTTGTAGGGACATGGATGAAGCTGGAAATCATCATTCTCAGCAAACTAACACAGGAACAGAAAACCAAGCACTGCATGTTCTGACTCATAAGTGGGAATTGAACAATGAGAACACATGGACACAGGGAGGGGAACATCACACACCAGGGCCTGTTGGGTGTGGGGGTCTAGGGGACGGATAGCATTAGGAGAAATACCTAATGTAGATGAGGGGTTGATGGGTGCAGCAAACCACCATGGTACGTGTATACCTACGTAACAAACCTGCACGTTCTGCGCATGTATCCCAGAACTTAAAGTGTAATTAAAAAAAGGAAAAAATATACCCACCATTGTAAACTATAAGAAAATCTCCAAAACAAGAGGCTTACACATTTTATATTTGACAAACATGAGCATTCTAAGACACTTTTGAGATTATAAATACTGTTCTGCAATATCCTCATTTATAAGACAGAGATAATAATTGCCTATCAGGATGTTATGAGAATTAATTTAGATAAATAAAGCCTATATACTTTCTAATTCCACAAGGGGAAAACCATGTTTTTATGTCTTTAAGTCCTTCAACCTTAGCATTGTCCTCTATATTTAGTGCATATTGAATAAATATGTGTTAAATAAATGAATTAATAAACAAGTCAGGGAGCTTTAGAATGTTAGCAAGTGCATTTTGAAACAGATGACCATAGATCATAGATCATGACTACAGACCAAGAATGCTGCAACAAGAGAGTATTTTCCAGATTGAAATGTCTATACTCAGTAATAAAATCTTTTTTACTGTTAAATAAAAATGGTAGTATAATAGTGAAACTTTAGTTACAAAATATATGTCATAAGAAATTGGATTTATCACTTATAATGACCTCACTAGCTTTGAGTTAATATAATTCAGTGCTAAATGGACTGTGAAGATTCTGCTATTAGTTACAACACTGGTTTTCTCTTAGCCGACTCAAATTATACTATTAGTTTATCTAAAGATTCAAATCCAAACATAAAAGCTGCACCTTCAAGAAGCATATAGTCTAATGGGATTAGAGACATATGTGATTAGCAATTAGAGTGAAGAAAATGACTTCGTGGAAGAATGTTCTAAAGAACGATGGCATTATCAAGCAAAGAGATGCCTCAGGCTGCCTAGGCAAGGAAGGGTAGCTTCAGAAAGAAGATATGGAGCTAAGACCTGAAGGATGAGCAATGTGTCAGGTGAACTAACTGGGCAGGGTACCACGTGGGCAAAAACAGAACACTATGGAATGGAAAGAGGGACAGCAGCAGGAATAAAACAGGAAAAGTAGACAGGAACCACATCATGATGGCTTTGAATGCCACCCCCAGATGTTACTTTTGAGCCTATGGAAGACATTAAAAGAATTTGATTAGGGAAGTAAAATCATCACATTTGCATTGGAGATAAGCCAATTTGGCAGCAATGAGAAAGAAGGATTAAGCGGGAGGAGGAGGGAGGGGCAGCTGAAATGGAACTAGAGGTTGGCAGATAAGTATGGGAATTAATGCATTAGTAGAGATGGTGACTTGAGTTTTGTCAGTGATGGTCAAGGTAGAGAAAAGAGGATGAAAAAATTGAGACGTGGACGAAGTAATAGAACTGGAGAATTAAGTGGATATAATGGTTTTCTAAGAGAAATTCCAAAGAGTTAAAAATTACACATGACTAATGAATTTATTTTCAGTTTAAGTAACTATGTTCTATGTCTTATAACAACAACTTTTGTAAGCTTAGGATGAAACTGGAAGGTTTAAACTTCAGCATAAGGTGGAATAGCGATGCCATTCACTTAGATAAGGAATATAGCATAGCAGGCAGATTCAAACGGTGCCTGTGGTTCCCTTTATAGTTCTGGTCTCCTTTTACACTGAGAGTAAATTGGAATCAGGTCAAGTCTTAGTCAAAGTAAATTGAGGCTTCTTTCTTTAGCGTGAGTCCATAGAATAAACTCGTAAAAACCTAGGATACAGATAGTAATGGTTTAATCTCCCTTCCCAGGTTTGTGGGAGACCAAGGGGAACAAAGGCTGGTTTAGTCTGAAGTTTTGTTTTGTTTTGTTTTTTTTGAGACAGAGTTTTGCTCTCTCGCCCAGGCTGGAGTGCAATGGCACAATCTCAGCTTACTGCAACCTCTGCCTCCCCAGGTTCAAACAATTCTCCTGCCTCAGCCTTCTGAGTAACTGGGATTACAGGCATGCACCACCACACCCAGCTAGTTCCATATTTTTAGTAGAGACACGATTTCACCATATTGGCCAGGCTGGTCTGAAACTCCTGACCTCAGATGATCCGCCTGCCTCGGCCTCCCAAAGTGTTGGGATTACAGGCGTGAGCCACCGTGCCCGGCCGTCTGAAGTTTTAAGGCAGACTTGGAAATGAAACTATGTGGGGCATGCTTACATCAATAGATGTGCTACAATAGCAGATATATTTGTTCTGGGTCCAAATATGGGTGAATGTGATGGAAATCCACAATAGAGGTTAAACATCAACACCAAGGAAGTAGAGATCAAGTAAGAGAACCTCCTGGAAAATATAAAGGAGCATCCTCAGTTTTAGAGGCAAATCCCTCCATCTCCCACCCTTCCTGCTTTTGTATTCTTTCACCCAGGTTCTCCAGTGCAGTGATTCTCAGAGATACTCATTGGAACCACCTGGAAAGCTTTTGAAAAACACTGATCCTGACCCCACACTCCAAACTTCTAATTTAACTGGTCTTGAGTGGGAAACTACCACCTTAGTTTTAGGTTGGTGCAAAAGTAATTACAGTTTTTGCCAGTACATTCCATGACAACACCACACTAGTAGATTCTCAACCCTGGCTACACATTAGAAACTTCTGAAGCTTCTAAAAACACCAGGCCTTAGTCCCACCTCCCAGAAATTCATTTAGTCCAAGGTGGGGTCCTGACATCTGGTGTTTTTAAAAGGTCACAGGTGATTGCCAGAGTTCAAAACCACTGCCGATCCTCCAAAACAGAGAGGTTCTCTATTTTTTCCATTTGTTTCAAAATTACTTCTCCAAACTCACTGTTTTTTTTTTGTTTTTTTTTTTTTTTTTTTTGTTTTGTTTCTTTTTTAAGGTGGAGTCTTGGTCTGTTGCCCAGCCTGCAGCGCAGTGGCACAATCTCGGCTCACTGCAACCTCTGCCTCCCAGGTTCAAGCAATTCTCCTGCCTCAGACTTCCAAATAGCTGAGACTACAGGCGTGTCCCACCATGCCTGGCTAATTTTTTGTATTTTTAGTAGAGACGGGTTTTCACCACGTTAGCCAGGATGGTCTCTATCTCCTGACCTTGTGATCCACCCGCCTCAGCCTCCCAAAGTGCAGGGATTACAGGCATGAGCCACCGTGCCTGGCCTCAAACCCACTCTTAATTATAACCATGTCTTTTACCTGACATAGATTATGAGAGTGTGATATAAGCTCTATCATCTTTTTCTTTTTCTCTGCTATCACTTTGATTTTTGATCAAGAAACATCTCTATCATCACAACCTCACCATCATTCTCACCTGGGTTACTGAAGATAATGCTGATAAAACCATCTCCTTCTTAGTGGACTTTTCTTTCTGATCACAACCATGTAAAGTCTCTCTCACCATAAAAACAAAAACAGAAGACCTCCCAAAACAAAAGGACCTTCCAAGAACCTTGTTAACCCTAGAGGTAACTCTCCATTGATTTCTGCATTAGTCTGTTTTCATGCTGCTGATAAAGACATAACTGAGACTGGATAACTTATAAAGAAAAAGAGGTTTAATGGACTTACAGTTCCATATGGCTGAGGAAGCTTCACAATCATGGCAGAAGGTGAAAGGTATGTCTTACATCACAGCAGGCGAGAGAGAGAAAGAGAGCCAAGCAAAAGAGGAAGCAGGTGATTATAACACCATCAGATCTTGTGAGACTTATTCACTACCACGAGAATAGCACCTGGAAGACCCACCCTGATGATTCAATTACCTCCCACCTGGTCCCTCCCACAACACGTGGGAATTGTGGGAGCTACATTTCAAGATGAGATTTAGGTGGGGACACAGCCAAACCATATCAATTTCCTACCCTTCAACAACAAACTTCTTGGATAATAAGGTCTTTGGGGGGCCAGGATTGCTGCAGTGATTCCTGATTGTCTCTAATAACTTGGGAAAGTAGAAAAAGCCAAAGAGAGATAACCTGTTCCAGCAACTCTAGTCAGGCCGCAGAAGAAGGATCTCATTCCCATTAGAGTCAGAGAGGGAAATCCAGTATTTTTATACCAAAGGAGGGGCTTTCGCATATTATGTAAGAATAAACAATTCACTGAAAAGATGACAAATTCTTGTAATATTAAATACATATGTAAAAGATGATAGAACAAATTTCAGGCACCTTTATACTACTAATACTGTACTATTTGTTTAAACTTGTAATAAGTCTAGCACAAAATACATAGTCCTGCACCTCAAAACATTTTGAAGGACAGACATCATGTACTATGGTGGCTCCCTAAGATTAAAATGGAGCTGAAAAATTCATATTGCCTAGTGATGTCATAGCTATCTAGTGTCATAGCACAATGTATCACTCATGTGTTTGTGGTGATGCTGGTGTAAACAATTGTACTGCGTTGCCAGTTGTATACATGCATAACACATACAATTATGTATAGTATGTTATACTTGATAATAAATGACTGTGTTACTAGTTTATGTATTTACTGCACTATACTTTTAATCATTGTTTTACAGTGTACTCCTTCTACTTATATAAAATAGTTAACTGTAAAACAGCCTCAGGCAGGTCCTTCAGGAACTATTCCAGAAGAAAGCACTATTATCATAGGAGATGACAGCTCCATGCTTGTTATTGCCCTTGAAGACCATCCGATGGGATAAAATGTGGAGGTGGAAGACAGTGATATTGATGATCCTGACCCTGTGTAGGCCTGGGCTCATTGTGTGCTTGTGTCTTATTTTTTAACAAAGACCCTTTAAAAGTAAAATAAAATAAAATAAAATAAAATGTTTAAAATAGAAAAAACATAGAATAAGGATATAAAGAAAATACTTTTGTATAGCTGTACAATGTGTTCATGCTTTAAACTAAGAGTTTTTACAAAACAGTCAAAAAGCGAAAAATAATTAAAAAGTTTATAAAGTAAAAAGGTTACAAAAAGCCAAGGTTAATTTATTATGAAAGAAATAAATATATTTTTAATAAATTTAGTGTTGCCTAAGTATAGTGTTTGTAATGTCTACAGTATTATACAGTAGTGTGCTAGGCTTTCACATTCACTTACCAGTCACTCACTGACACCCAGAGCAACTTCCAGTCCTGCAAGCTTCATTCATGGTAAGTGCACTGTACAGGTGTGCTTTTAAAAAAAATCTTTTATGCCATATTTGTACTGTACTC
The DNA here is from genome assembly GCF_000001405.40 of Homo sapiens. Classification (NCBI taxonomy): domain Eukaryota; kingdom Metazoa; phylum Chordata; class Mammalia; order Primates; family Hominidae; genus Homo; species Homo sapiens. The sequence continues at coordinate 149,630,793 of NC_000002.12, read as the reverse complement.
TACCTTTTCCATGTTTAATTGTGTTTAGATATACAAATATTTACCACCATGTTATAATTGCCTACAATGTTCAGTACAGTAACATACTCTATAGGTTTGTATTCTAGGGGCAATAGGCTGTACCGTATAGCCTAGGTGTGTAGTAGGCTGTATAATCTAGGTTTGTGAAGTATACTCTGTAGTGTTCAAACAATGAAATCACCTAAGGTTATATTTCTCAGAACATATCCTCATTGTTAAGTGACACATAACTGTATAGATCAAGCTTGTACATTTGGTTCAACAATAGCTAGGAACAATTTGAGAGAATAATTAAGGTGAAATTCTTGCCCATTTTATAATATGGCTTTAGAATGAATTTGCTGCCAATTTAAGTAACTACGTCATATAGTTTAGTGGTTTCTGGGGGCAATAAAAGTAGCACACTTACAAATAGCCATATGGATAAAAATGCTTATCATTTTTTTTCAAGATAAATAGAAGCAATGCCAAGGACTGCAGAAGTCACACACACATGCACACACACACACACACACACACACACACATACAAAAAACTGACAAAAAACCTCCACTCATCTCTCTTGAAAGAGGTAGCAACATCTCTGGTTCATTGGATCTGAAAGTTAAGTCAATTGATTTAAGGGAAGAAAAATACAAGATTGGGAATGCTTTAGTCACATACTCTGTTCTATCTCATGTTAACCTCTAGGGAGAATTTGAGGTGGTACCCATCTTTTCACAAACACTGTCACCATCACCTACATAGAATATGTGTACTTCTTGCAAGCAGAGCTCTGACATAGGTCCAAGAGTCTTAAAGATTAAGTACAGCTTTGGCTGGAAAAATGAAGAGTCCAAAAGCAACTCATTCTTAATTATCTTTTATCTTCCCCTTGGAAAGCTGATGGAAAGGCTAAAAAGAACCCATAAAAAGAAAAAAAGAAAGAGTTTTGGTGGCTCTACCTCAGTCTGAGAAAAGGATTCCTTGAGGCTTATGCATAGTAAATCCAGTTCACCAGGATAAAGAAGTATACAGATTAGCTACACAGCAAGATTTGGGCATTTGCCTGAAGGAGACCTGAACACATTACCTTGAAACCAAATGATTCAAATGGTCATATTTGGGACCTAGATATGTGAGATCTTATATATCTATGTTCTCAAGTAACAATTACCATTATCTCTGGAAGCCGAGCATAATTCCTTGCTTATTAATTGCTCAATATCATTTGTTAAAATGAAAGTTTTGGGCCTTAGTTTGCTTAGTGTGCCATAATTTGTAAAACTTGCTTTAAAAAGTTGCAAAGGAATAAATGGAAGTGCTCTTTAAAAGACTGAATGCTGCATAAATGCAAGCTATTCCTACTATTAACTGGAATATGATACTAAAACAGCACACCATACATCTACCAGTCAGTCTGCCTGTCAGTTCACCAAGCTTCTTTAGGAGACTAACAGATGGGCAACATATAAAAGCTTATATTTGGAAGATCTCACTTTTGCCCTTTGGCTCTCTGCCCTCAGGCCTAGAGTGTGGCCCTTAAATCCATCTCCCCAAGAGCCTAAAAGAAATGCTTGTGTGGTCAAACTGGTTCCACCATTGGTCTCATTCCAACCAAAGCTCATTAGTTTTACTTTTCCCTTTGGATTTGTGGGTTACAGTTTTATTTGTTGCATAATAGAAGTCACTAGCAGCTTGTATGTTTCTTTACACCTTGGCATTGAATCAGCAATGGATCCATTGCACTTCCTTTATTAAGATTAAGTGGTGGTTTGCTGTATGTCCTTAGACTTGGTTGCCATTTTAAGCATTTATTAGTTACTCTAATTGTAACCTACTAGCCATTCTATTTCTTTCATTAAGATAAAATAAAAAGGAACTTGTGCTCCAGCTTCAACTTTAAAAACCTAGACCTGCACTGTCCAATATGGTAGCCTCTACATATGGCCATTAAGCATTTGAAATATGACTAATCTGAATTCAGAGATGCTGTAAGCATAAAATACACACCAGATTTCAAAAAGTTATTATTAAAAAAGAATATAAAACATCTCTAATTTTTAAAACTGATTGCATGTTGAGATGATAATATTTTTATTATATTGAGTAAAATTAAATATATTATTAAAATTAATGCCATTTATTTTTAATGTGACTGGAAAATTTTAAATTATGAATGTGGCTTGCATTATATTTCTACTGGACAACTTTGATCTAGATATTCAGAAGTTTTTTGAAGATTTTTATTCTTAATGACTTGGGTTAGTCTTGGTTATTTAATTCTAATGTATTCTTTCTTACTGGGTTATTTAAAATTTGTGTATTATCTTACCTCTAGAATTGACTATAATATAATAGTAAATTAAATAAAACTAATTAATGGCTATTAATCATGTTTAAAAGGCACTGACCTGCCAAGTGCTTTCAAAGCCCTTTAGACACCTGCATTAATGGCTCTGTATCATGCCAAATGATACTGAACCAGAAATGCTCTAATGCTGTTCTTGTCTAGAGGCAACCACCTCAGCTTGGAGCTTCACTGAGCATAAAAGACAGCAAGTGATGCATTATATTCCATGCATTGATAGATGTGTTTGGCAAATGTCATAGCACTTTCTTCAAAACTGCATCATGAAATAGAATATAAGACATTTGGAAAGCAGATTTGATCCTAGTACTTGTGATCTATTCTTAAATTCAGCTTTCATTATATATGTAATATAATGTATGGTGTATGACCAACCACCTACATATGTGAGAGGTATTTTTAAAATGAGCGACCACTATAATTGTGGTATACAAAAAAAAAAAGAGAAAATTCTCATAATGAAACTAAGGGAAAAAATGAGAGATGAAAAAGCCAAGTGTAAAAAAACAATAACAACAAAATTCAGTTCACCAACCAACCCTCAATGGCCATTTATTCCATTCATTGCATTGAATAGTAAGAATTATTAAAAAAAAAATTTAACCATAGAAAAGAACTGTCCTTCTGATCTGGAATATACAGTAAGACCTTTATTAAATATCATTGAGTCCAAAGGACCTACAATCCCAAGATGATCCCATTTGGGCAAAGGAAATAGAAACCTGCAAAAAGACAGAGAGCATGCAAGAAAGGGAGTTGATAAAGACTCAACAAGAGAATAGCTGCATTAGGAAAATTGTTCTGCATAATTTTCCTACCCTTCCCTAAGGAAGTGTACCTTATAGTTGTGACAGGATATTCAGAAAAGGAGAAAATTATTTTTCTCCAAGACAAGCTTCAAATACGAAGAAATTTAATAAGAAGAAACCATTCCATGGATTTAACAATGCAGAGATAGTGTGCTTAGAATAACTTAATCTTAAAGATACCCATCTTAAAAAAAAAACTCACAAAGAAGGAAACAAAGAGGTAAATAAATATTGCTTGACATTCATATACAGATGCACTTAGAATTACTCAGTTTCAGTTCATCTTTAAGCTTCCCATTTTCCAAGACAGACAAACTGAAGCACTGAATTTTAGTTGATGTGGCCCAAATTATAAATAGCCTGTGTAAAGACCAGAACTAGAAGTAAATTTATCTCCAATTGCCTTTTTTACTAATTTCTCAGGCAATTTCTTCTCAACACATCCTGGCTGTAAGACTTGCTATTCCTAGGACCACATGAATACTTTTAAGATACCTAACATGAAAGAAATACACTTAACAGAGCCTTTACTGGATAGATGGTTCCCAAATTGAGTTCTTTTTTTTTTTCTTTTGAGACAAGGTCTCCCTGTGTTGCCCAGGCTGGAATGCAGTGGCGCAATTTTTGTATTTTTTGTAGAGAAGTGGTTTCGCCATGTTGCTCAGGCTGAGTTCAACTTTTAAGACATTGTTTTGTAAAATCATGCTGAACTCCAGCCCCAAAATGTGACTACTATTAAACAGTTAATGATATATCCTTCAAAACTTTTTATAAGATGGATACAGTCATACAATTTTTAAAATCAAAGTGAGATTGGGCTATACATAATATTCTACATTTTTCTTTTTTCAATATATTATAGATATTTTCATCTTCAGGCTTTATTATATTTTTAAATCCACATAATTTGCCACTCTACAAATGTCCCATAGTTTTCTCAACCACCACTGTATCAGTGATGATTTATTTAGGTTATATGCAATTTTTCACTATTACAAATAATACCACAGCAATATTATTTGGTTATATTTTGGAACTCATGTAAGAATTTCCTGAGGATAAATTGCTAAAGGTGAAATTTCTGAGTCAATGATCATTACATTTTTAGGGCTTTTTACAGATACTTTAAAAATTACCTTCCAAATCACTTGAGTCAATTTACATTTCCACCAGAAATAAATGACAAGGCCTGTTTTCCTATATCCTTACCATCACCGAGTGCTATCAATTATTTTAATAATGCCTGACCAGAGAAGAACATATCTCAACTTTTATTCAATTTGGATTATTTTTAAAAAATCAAAGTTGGGGATTTTTCTTTTTAAGTTAGTTCTGTATTCTCCACATCCTTGTTTAATTAGTCTTTCCTGATACTATTTGTGAAAAGGAAAATAATAATAATAAAAGTTTTCTGTCTTGAGACTTACAGGTATATTTTAAATACTCATTTGATTCCAGGGATTGGCAAATATAATTCATTGCTCTTGGGTAGACTATTAATTCCAGCATTTTTTCGAACATCTTTGGTTTAGCTTTTTCTCATACAAAGCAGAAATCAATCTTATTTCACATAAAGTACTGGGATTAGGGTACATTTTAGTTTGGCCTGTATTTGGCAAAAATTCAAAACTTTCAGTATTACCCAGTTCAAAATTTCAACTCACTACTTACATGATTTTTCTCTTTAAACAACTTCTGACTTTCATGAACATAGACTCAAATCCAAATAGGGATTATCTCATAAGTTTGTACAAAAATAGGGGAAGTGCTTCGAGATTGCTACAGAAATGTACATCCTACTGGGCATCTAAAAGACAATGTGTGTGAGCTTTAACGAAGCCTTTGAAAGTTTAAAATGCATCAAATTAAAAACCATATCCATTAGAAAAAAATTCTTTCAGCATCTATTCTGTCAATATTTCTGGAAGGAGGTAAAAGGTTTTTATTTAAGATAAGAACACAGTCAGAGATAAATACATTTTCTTTGTAGAGACTAGATATCTCACTGTTGGATATTAATGTTAAGATAAAAGTAAAGCAGATTTGTGCCAGTGGCCATGACAGAAAAGCGAACCACAAAGAAAAAACAATTTTCAAATTGCAAGCAATTGGAATGCTTACAGAGTATCATAAAATCCTGAGGATTTGAAGACAACTTTGAAGACATAAAGTTCAACCACTTATCTATCTAATGTTTAAATCTTCTCCACAGTAAATCGGTCAAATGCTCATTCACCCAGTGTTTAAACATATGCTCTGATAGGGAATGAATTACCTACTGGGGAGCCCATTGCAGTTCTGGGCAGCCGTGATGATTAGTTAGTCCTTCTTGGTATGTTCTACTAAAGTTTGTTTTCTTAGATTTAATATTTATAGATCCTACTTACACGTTGGCATTACATAGGAACTCTTGGCTTGCTAATTCTATACCCTCCCTAACCTCCATTCCTTTCACCTTCCACAGTATGAGCAGAAAAACTAAATCTTCACCTTCCTGGTCTCTGCTTCAGCAAGGGCTTGCCAACATAACCCAGTTCTGGCTAATGAGACATAGGAAAACTCCACATGTGGGTTCTGGGGAAGCTTTTGTCATCCATTCTCTCTTCTTTCTGCCTTGAGTATAAACTTGATTAAGCCAGGATTGCTACTTGCAACCAGGAAGGAGAGTTCACATGTCTAAACCCCTAAATGCTCAGAGCCACCTACCTTCAGACTTAGCACTATTTAGAAAAAGTAAACCCCATCAATCCTGAGGGATTTTAGTCAGGTTTTCTGATGTTTGCATCTGAAGACAAACCTATTTAACACCTATATCATGTGGTCACACAGAAAAGTCAAATACTTATTCCATTTGGTAACACCTCTCGTCTTAATGAAGAGAAAATACTTTACTAAACTGCTACCTGACCCAGGTTGGAGATACTCTTACCTCCAAATGTCAACAACTAGACTATATCTATAATATTATCACAACTACAAAACTATCAGAGTAAACACAAAAGAGAGAATTTAGTTAATGAATGTTGGAGACTCCTGAATTCTGATGTAAGATAATGTAAGCAGTATATTCACTGTTCCTGGTCAATTTCTTCCCTTTCCTAACTTCTCATTCTATTGCTATCTTAGCTCACCTCCAATTTCATTATAAATTAGGATTTCTAGACCCTGGCAAAGCCTGATAGAACAATTTTAATTTGTTTCCTCTTTCTTTTTTTTTTATTTTTCAAGTCTATCAGGATGTCAGTTTTCTAGAAATTACTTGCAGCCATAGTTTAACCTCAAAACAGGGCACTAAATTTCAACTTTCCCAGGATCATCGAATTTGAGCCTCAAGTTGCAATGTCATTTAAAGATAGTGATCTGCTATAATCCTTGTAGACTAATAGCAAAATGCGCCACCAGAAATACGTCTAAAATGTTGACCTATTTTTCTAGCTCTTAATGCATAATACCAATAATGCCATTAGAGAATTTTTATGAGTAGTCTTTTCCAAGAATTAAACGGTGAAACAGAATAAATCTGAATTTATACTGCAATTTATAGCCAGCTCAATCCCTTTTAAAGAAAAGCTGTAATCTTACACCTTCAGAATGATGATTTGATCAATTGCATTTCAGAATCAGTAAGTAGGACTGATTATATATCTCCCATCTACTTCAAAGAAAACTTATAAGGAAGACTGTAGACTAATTAAGAGAATGGACTTTGACATGAGTAAGATCTTTAAATGTGGATTTTGACCATTATGAGCTGACTGATTTAAGGCAAATTACTTTGGTCCATTCATATTCATCATCAGTAAAAATGGAATAAGTATATCTACCTCTTAGGTTTATTATAGAGATATAATAATTATATTACATATATATCTATATAATATTATAGAGATATAATAATATTGTAGAGATAAACTTAAGTAACACACACATAGTTTAAACATAGAGATAAACTTAAGTAACACACACATAGTTTAAACATTGTCACTAGTGTTCAATAAATGATTAGCTATTACCATTCCTAAAAAAATATTGGTACCCTTTTCTACCTGGTTTCACTGAATTCTTTCACTTGATGTGCTAAGCCAACAACCTTGGTTTCTAATGATTAAAAGCACCGAATATCTAGCATAAGTATAAATTATTTGGACATTTATATAATTTCCTTTTTTATCTCTAAACCATTGCCCATCCTTTTGTAGAAATAGAATCTAGATGATTCAGCAAGAGGTTTTTTAAAAAGACAGAAATGGCAAGGGAGTAGAGGTAGAGCCCCTAATGTTAGACATGTGCTGGAGTTTGTATTGTTCCAGAGCACCCTGAGACAAGGATTTGAGTGCAAATAGCAATTTTAGGAAATGCTGGGTGTAAGGGTAAAGAAGAAGGGAAGGAATACAAAAAAAGAAAAAGGGTGCTTTACCAGTCCCACTAGTATTGTATGCAACTTGAGTTTAATCTCACTGAGGAAACTCTGAGAGCCAGGGAACATACCCCTTCAAATTACTGCATCCAAGAGGCAGGGGAGCTGGGGTATTTATATCTCAGGAGTTGTCCTGAGGTCATTGTTGAAAGCTGCTCCCAGGGTTTGTTAATTCCCAGGCACTTCTGGCTCACTGATCATGGATCATAGGCAAAGCTGTTTTCTGTGCTTCTGCTGAAAAAGAAATGAGATACTGAGATGAAAATACTGGGAGTTGGAAGTCAGGGAAAAGCCCACTGGATGATGACAGAAAGGGAGAAAGGGGACACTGATGGCACGTGCTTCAGGGCACTGAGGACTAAATGAAACCAGAAGAACAGGAGCTAAAACCAAGTTATGGATTGTGACAGGGTAAATCCCAGGGTAAAAATATTACAGAGTAATATTTCAGGGTAAAAAAAATTACAGGGTAGTTTTTTTACAGGATAAAAAATCTCAGGGTAAATCCCAGGGTAAAAAGAATCTGAGCAAGGGAAGTGAAAGGCTGAAATTTTTGTGAAATGAAAAAGCTGGCAGCCCAGAAGAAAGCCAGAATTTTGGCTTGGAGGATGTGGTACACATCTCACACCAAACACTTTCATTTTGGTGTGCCCTAGCAGGAAGCTCATAGTGCTATTGGTCCTTCTCCCATGGCACATGGGCAGCTCTGGGCCTATAGGCGCACCTTTTAATCTGACTGGCTATTGTTGAACATGCAGCACTTCTCAAAGCACATCCATGCAGTAATGGTTCAATACATGCAAATCAATAAACATGATATATGATCAACAGAATCAAGGACAAAATCCATATGATAATTTCAACAGATGCTGAAAAAGCATTCAATAAAATTCAGCACCCCTTCATGATAAAAACTCTCAACAAACTGGATTAGAAGTAACATACATCAACATGATAAAGGCCATACATAACAAGCCTATCCCAAACACACTTTTCAGACACACTTTGGAAGGAGGGGTCCAATTTTGAACAACTTCTCAGGCCTAATCTTTCCTCTCCAAGGAAAATTCAGGTATTTCCAGACTCCACAAGTCCTTTGTACCCAGAACTTTGCTCATGAGCATGACATTTTCTGCACTCTCCTGGCTTTCTGCACAGAATTGGTTGGGTGCCATCCTCCTCTGCAGCAGAGAGCCAGAGAGAAACCTGTGGCTACGGGCTGAGGCCCAGATTCTAGGCTGAAGTAGACTGAAAATTGTGAGAGAACTTGCAATACTTGACCTCTCAGTTCCTGACTCCTTCAGCAAACAATTATTAAGCATCTACTTTTTTTTCATTTATATCTCTAGCAGAGTTACAGGGGCAAGCAGGCCATCCCAAAAACCCCTCTAATACGCTCTGCCAGTTAGTCCATCTGTGCTAAGGAGGCTAAAGTTGTAGAATAGATTGTGATGATTAGATTGTCTCTTATTTTCTGACGACTGAATGCCAAAATCCATGTCCATCCCACCCTTGCTCTTCTTCTGACCAGCTCATCCCAGGGGATGCCTCAGTTAAGTCCATCTTTGAGGCTAGAGACATGTACCCCTGGCAGCAAACATCAGTGGGATCCTTGTCAAACACAATGGTAGTCATTGTCATTAGAGGGGCTTGCAGAACATTTTCAAAGAGCAATATTTTTTGTTGTTAGGCTTCTTGCAGTTGCAATTATAATTAGGGAATTTTAAGAATTTAGGACTTTTTCAGATAAAAATTACAGTATTTTGTTTATACAGAACAACTTTTCACTAGGAATCACATCATTCGTTTTATTGATTTTTTTCATTTTGTATAAAGCCCTGTGGATTTAACATGTTAGAATAAAGATATCTCTGCAGAAGGCAATTCTCATTTTTTAAAAATGGCTGTTGATCAATGTGGAGTTATCCTTACAGATTAATGTAAAAAAGAAACATGTTTAAAAGGCTATTTGAAATTAACTTGGGGACATTTTGAAAGAAAAAATCAATTAAATAATGTGTTTCTAGATCCTTCCTTAAAATATATGAACTTTCCATTTTGCATAGTGACATTTTTTTCAGATACATAGAGATATGAATGAACATCCTTAGAAACAAAACTGAGTCTTTATTTCTTTGGGAGTATCATTACCCTTGAAACAGGATGATAAAGCTGAGAATAGTACCATAAACTCAACTATAAATAACCCACACTAACAAAGGAAAATGCTGGTTGAACGACTTTTTACACACAACAAAAAGCAATAATTTACAGACATTTCCCAGTGAAAACATGGAAGAAGTAAGAAAGAAAAGAGAAATAAATTAGGATGCTAAATGTTGCCTTCACTGTGTCAAGGAAACTAATGTTCATTTAAGAAGGAAAATGATAATCCCTTCTCAGGGTCCTATTTGATGTGAACTGCTGTCTAAGCTTACCCTTGTTAGTTCTTTACGGTAAATTCAAAGTGGGTAGAATACAGGAAGTTTTGTTTTTTTTTTTAATACCTTTAGGGAGGCTTTTACTTTTCACTTTACCACAGACTCCTCATGCCCTAATATTCATAACTCCACCCTGATTTACACCTTTATTTTTTCAGCCTGGTCTTTGCAGGCATGTGATTTAGGGACTCCTGTCCTATGTAACCCCACCCCGCCAAATTTCTCTATTTGATATCCCAGAATTATGTTCACTCCATAATTCCAGTCTCAAATAGACTCCGTCATTTCCCCTTTCCCTGTCTTAAAGTTCATTTCTCCATAAAATGCATTCATGTGACGATCACTTCATGAAGGAGTGTCTGAGCTTATCACATTTGTTATGTATAAGCAGTGGTATGCTGGTAAATGTTTAATAACTGGCTCTCCCTGGAAGGAAGAAGATCTCAGGTTTGTGGTGTTTGTCCATTTCTGTGGTGTAAATTTTTTTACCATGGCCAGTTGAAAAGGTGCTCACAATCTGCTGGTAAGAGCTGGTGAAAGCTGGCTCCAGCACACAGTTGTTTTTTAGGAACAAATGGCCCATAGCTTTGTAAGATTGTATCAAGGTATTGTATTTTTAAAAGAGGTTGTAGAAGCAGCAGTGAGCAAAAGTAAAAAGAACCAAGTTCTAGCCCTCGTTCTGTCATTCCTTAACTAGTTGATTCTAAGGCCACTGAATCTTTCTAGATCTCGGTTTTCTCATCTATACAATAACAGGAGCACATGAAATAATGTTCTAATGCTAACAGGCCTATGAGTCTACGTCATCCTTCATACAATCATGCATTCCCACCTCAACTGAAATCTCCTTGAGAGTGGGCTATGCCATAACATAGTATATCCTCAACACACCAGGCACAGGCCCTTGTACTTAACAGGTGCCTCCTAAATAGCTGTTTTGCTGAATAAATGATTCACCTGGGTAACACTGGCAGAAGCCTGGGCATATGATGGGTTAGTGGTATAGAATAGGATATGAGATTGCATTAGAACAAGGAGAATCAAGTGATTAATTTGAAGAATAGTTTTCTCTATGAATAATGATAATTTCCAGGTTGGTAATAGGAAAATTGAATGGTGCCATTTGTACACCATTTCTGCTCCTTTTCTCCCCTTCAGTGTCTACCCTAAATATGCACCAAGATGTCCTCCATTTGACCTTGTCCCCTAGTAGAAACTTCCCTTCCCCACCACCATTTTTCCACATTCAAGTTCACGCTAGACTATGTTTTTAATATTTCTTTGCCATTTGCATTTCTTCCTGTCATATATCACTGTCAGATTTATCTCAGAGTAAGCAATGTCTTTTTTACCAATACCTTTCTTTTAGTTTTTCTCATAATGCTACTTGTGAGCATAAAAAACCTGAATTCGGGCTGATTGGAGCAGTATTAATAATACTCAACAGCAAAAGCCAAGAAGACTTCATGTATTGAAGTAAATTGGACATTCGACAGAATAATAAATAAAATTATTTCTACTTCAGCTTTTTCTAGGCTCCTAAGGCCTAAATATCATATGACAGTGAGGTAAGAACAGAGCCCTGTGCAGAACTGCTAAGATGATTGTAAAACCGTTTTTATCAGCATCAATGAACCCTAATTAAAAAAAAAAGAAAAGAAAAAAAAAAAACCTCTACAGTTTGAAGAACTGGAGAAGAATCCTGTTGAGAGAGTTATTGGCAGCATGGCTCTCCCAAGGGAGAAAACCTACTTCTTTGCTTTAAGCCAAGTGAGAGGAACTTCAAGGGGAGGAGACACTTGAAGAGTTTGATAAATATCTCCCAGAGTTTTAAAAGAATGTTAGTGCAGGTATAAGACATTGTGGCTAGACCGGCCTGAAGGAGCAATGCAGAGAACAAGGCAGGAATCAAACTTTCTGCACACCAACTGTGTGCCACACAGGAAGGAACAAACCTAGAGTTCTTGGAAGGACTGCCTGGAAAGACATAGCAAACTGCCAGGAATCGAGGACAGTGTCAAAAGTAACAAACTGTATGAGGTATCACCTATCTTACAGTAATTATAGTTGCAGTTGAGGCTCCCACAGGCAAAATCACTCCAAAAACACCCCTGTGATAAAGTCAGGTTTGAGCCTCCATGATGGCAAATCCAAATCACATCAGTAAGCTCTTTGATGTCCCCTTAACTCTTCTCCCTTATCCCCCTCCAGTGCTGAAGGCACTAGAAGCCATAGTTAGTGATGGAAGAGGAGATGCCATGTCTCATACACACACACACACACACACACACACACACACACACACACACTTTACATTCACATACATACACTCTCATACACATGCATTTATACACACATTCACATGCATTCACACACATGCATACACACAAACACCACACACACACCAGGCTTCCAATTCTTGGTCAGGCCCTGGCTGGGAAATGGGAGAAAATTTAAAGAGGACAATGGGTTTCTATTATTATGCTGAACTGAACTGCTTAAAGCTTTAAAGTAACTGGAAGATTACTAATTGCCAGAAAATAGAGAGCAATTTTTAAAACTCTGAGATCTGCTCAAAATTTCATCCAAGAATCGGGAAAAAAGCTATTCAACCCAATGTGTTAAAGAGACAATGAGAAAAAAAAAAAGTTGCTTCAGGTTTCTTTTTTCTAATGAGCTTTTTTAACTATAATGGTCACAGACTTAATAGAAAAAGATTGGCCTCCAACCCTTCAAGTCCTTGAATGTTTTCAAAACCACTTTAAAACACCAAAAGGCATTGATTCATCTGCCCCTAATCAAACTGCAAGCACCCACATTTGAGAAAAGCAAAAACTATTTCTTCTTCGATTGTGTTGTTCCTCTGTTTTGCCTAATTAATAGTATTAAAACTATGTGTTTTCTATTGTTTTTCATTGAAAATGCACTGTACTTTTACTCCCCTATTGATTTTTAAGTCAGATAGACCTATAACATTCTTCATAAAGGAAAATGTCTGCAACATTCCAAAATTAATGGTTAGAACCCAACCCATTTGTAGACTAAGCTTCCCTGTAATATGTGCATACTCCAGTGATGACTGTACATGTAAGAGTAAAATAAAACCTTTATTCAACATGATCATCTCTGTATAGAACTTGTTATACTAATTTCAAATCTCTCAAAGGATATAGATGTTTTCCCCAGCAGGTCTGGTCTCAGGGATAAGAGAAATTCATTATTCCATCTGTATTAATTTGTCATGGTGTGTACAGCCAAGGATCCAGCACAGAAATGGCACAAGCAAAGACTTCCAGGCTGACTGTCTCTTGGGGGTCCAAGACACAGTAAGTTGTCAGAGTTGATAAAGATATGTTCTAAGAAATGTGAACCTGCCCATTATTTTTCTGGGAATAGCAGCCAAAACCAATAACAAAAAAAAAAAAAAAAAAATGACCCAACACCGCCAGGCTTGCAGGCATTCTTTACTACATTTCATGCCAATTATTCCTTCTCACATGAAAAGCAGGCATTAATTTCCAACCCCTGACCTATATTTCACATACCAGAGTTTCAGACCAAAAGAAACACTAGCTATCATAAAAATGCTACGACAGCCTGCCACATGAGGAGGAATCCCTTTAGGCTTCCAGCCAACAAGTTTGGTTTGAGTCTGCCACACTTTTATAGGGTGGAAAGGTGAGGTAGGGGAGAAAGAGGATAATTGTCCTCCCTTCCTTGAGAGGTCTTATCACAATATCTACTACTTTCAGAGAGGTAGTGAAAAAAATGATGGAAATCATAACTAATATCTGCTTGTCTCCATGGCATCTAGAGTCCCAGTAGGCCTCATCCTTAGCTGCTTCTCCTGTTTCAAGCACAAACTAATCATTCCAGTAAAACCTCCAGAAAAGATCTCCTGCATGCCTGAAATATTCCAAAGACATGGGATTGGAACTAGAAAGTGCTTCAGACAGAAACTTATGCTGGAGCATGGCTTTTGTGAATGGGAAGTCATGGGCAATGGTTCTTCTAGTGGCTGAACGGGAATTCAAGTATAATGGTTCATTTTCACTAAATGGTTCCCTGGGGGTCCAAAAAAAAAACACAAAAGAGCAATATCCAAAAGTGCCAAACATCTTTCCAGGGGTAGCTTTTTCAGGGGGAAGAATCTAATTCAGTGAGGACTCACAATGTGTTATACTGAAAAATGGAATGAAAATACATTTCCAGCCTTCTCAAGCAGACTCCAACAGTGAAGAAAAAACCAGAACACAAAACATTCTCAGGTTATAGCCAAGTTCTAGATGGATCTCAAGACCCAGCAGAGAGATTAATTTAATTTTCTAAGATAGCAGAGTAAGTCAAGAAATAGGGAATTTAAATGAAATTATTTTTGCCTGACTACCATATCAAATCCTTAAATAATAAGGCAGTGTCTAACTCCATTATTTCAAACTTCAAATATTGTTTCTAGCATAATAAGAGAAGCATGCAGAAAGGGGATGGGAGGCATACTGCATTGTTATTCAAAGCAAACCCTCAGCATCTTCTGTACTTCATTCATTCACATATATGTATTCACATATATGTATTAACTATTCCATTCAAAGTTCTGTGCAAGCTGCTAGGGCTGAAATTGTGAACAAGATAGATAAGACTGTTGTCTTCATATAGAAGCAGAGAAGAGAGAAAAACTGCATTTTGAACAACAGACAAGCTCTAGCTATGCCAAAGCTCTAGCTAAACTGATATACTTGGTCAAGGTGTCCAGCCTTTGTAGAAAGAATTTCAATTTGGGTTCTGGCTCTGTCACTAACCTAACTTGTGACCTCAAACAAGTCATGAATACTTTCTGGCTCCCAATTTGGAGACAATGGCACCTGTTTTAGGGAGCTGAGATTCAAAGAAGACAATGAAGTTTTATAAAGTGTTATATAAATAAAATGTCTTATTACAAATATTAGAAAACACTTATAGCGGCCAAGCATGGTGGCTCACGCCTGTAATCCCAGAACTTTGGGAGGCCGAGGCGGGCGGATCACCTGGAGGTCAGGAGTTTGAGACCAGCCTGGCCAACATGGTGAAATGGCGTCTCTACTAAAAATACAAAAATTAGCTGGGCATGGTGGCAGGTGCCTGTAATCCCAGTTACTCGGGAGGCTGAGGCAGAAGAATCACTTGAACCTGGGAGGTGGAGGTTGCAGTGAGCCGAGATTGTGCCATTGTACTCCAGCCTGGGTGACAAGAACAAGACTTCGTCTCAAAAAAAAAAAAAAAAAGCACTTATAGCAAAAATACTTGTTAAGAGTTAGCATTCTATTTGTTGCCTAATTCAAATCTAACAAAAATATCTGCTGTCAGAGCCAAAAGAGTAGGTTGTGATTGTAGCTAATCATTTACACAATACATCATGAAGAACACACAACACTCAGATCTGTACAAAGTCACAAGCTAAAGCATAATGACGTTTTACACAGTTTTCTTTAAATTGTTCACAAACTATGTAAAAAAAAAAGAAAATGCATATTTTCCATTCAATACTCTTCAGAATTAAAGAAAAATAAGAGATACAGAAAAATAGGCCTTTTTAAATAGGCAAATATAATTTTCTTTAATGAATAGATAGGTTTATTTCAGTTAGTAGTCAATGACT
The DNA here is from genome assembly GCF_000001405.40 of Homo sapiens. Lineage (NCBI taxonomy): Eukaryota > Metazoa > Chordata > Mammalia > Primates > Hominidae > Homo > Homo sapiens. Next base: position 149,615,120 of record NC_000002.12, on the reverse strand, counting down.
CCAGGGAAAGAAGTTAAGGGAATAGTCCATGAGGTTTTGGTGTGTGTGTGTGTTTTTTCTTCCTTTCTCCCCTACCTCTCTACCAAAGGAAAGGAGCCAAGACAAATGGTGAACTGAAGGTTCCTTGTATTCTCCCATAATTCAGGTACATATTTTTTCCAGCTGAAAAGGGGGTAAGTACTTCTTCAGCGATGACCCAGAATGATCAGTTTCCATTTCAGAAAGAATGGTTAAAAACAAATACACATATAGTAGACATGCAATTGTAGTCACACAGAGAGATTTTTTTCCTACATCTAAAACAAATGAATCTAAGTATTTTAAGTGGCTTTACCAGTTGGTAGAAAATGTGCGAAACATAATTCACAGGTGTGTCTACTGGGTTCCTTTTAAGGCAATGAGCAGCTAGGGGGTTCCCATTATCAGACAATAAGCACAATAGTTTTAAATCCAAACCCACTGCAGAATCAAAAACTGCCACAGTGGGAGAAGTCAATCAAAAATATTTTCATTGAATGCTTTAGCACTGGAGGCATTGAGAATGCAGTGCAGCTCATCAAGACAGATTCCCTGTCAGCAAATCCTGGCACACGTATATGGGAAAGCTATGACCCTCTTGCAAACAGACAGCTTAACTCCCTCACCTTTGGTGTAGTGGGGCACACCCTACTACCTATAGCAAACTTCCCATAGGGCAGAATATTAGCTTGGCATGAGATGGCTTATCACCTAGTTATTCTAGGCATGGTGGGGTAGTCACAACCAGTAAACCTTCTAATGTACTCTCTTTCCAGGAACGCATAGACAAGGTAAAGAGGACAAGTCTATTATAAGCTTAAATACTTAATAACTTAGTGGGGTAAAGATTTAATACCAGCATCTTGCCAGCAGAAGTTAAAAATGGACAGAAAGAGCCACAAAGAAACAACAGGAACCCCCGCTACCCCCACCACACACACACACACACACACACACACACACACACACACACATCAGAATTTTGCCTACTACAGAATGCAATTCTACAAATCACATAAAAGCTGCAAAGGAGTAAGTTTTCAGTAAACGTTGTCAAAAATTAAAAGCAACGCTATAAAGGTATTGTAAAAAAAAACACACACACACACATACAAGGGAAAGAAAGACACTAGGAAGTTGGGTGATGACTGACTCACAAAAATGTCTTATAGAAACATCAGCATGAAGAGAAACTACATCTTAACCAAAACCATCTGATGGCTGAACTCTAGGTGCCTTGTAAACAGGATCTTTGCCTTTATTTTTCTCTCAGCAGCTGACTGCAATTTTGGTGGTTTAAATAAAATCTGGATTTTTTTTCTACAGATGAAACTTATATGTTTGATGTTTAAATTTCTGTAATTTTTCTTTAGCCATATAAGGTTCTGGTGATATGAACACAAGTTATACTATACGCGCACGCACACGCACACACACACACACACACACACACACACACACATTGATGTATATTCATATGTCCAGATTTTGGGACAGGGAACATACTTTCTGATGATATAAAGCATAATCTTTCTTAGGGAAAATTTGTTGTTTTGATACATTAATCTTTTCAGTTGGTATCTCAGCTAGAAAACAAAGGAAGTTAAGCCTGATTTAGCTATATTAGATTTTAAATCTGCTGAATTCACCAAAGTTTACCCTGAGCCCAGCAAAGTGTTTAATACATAATAGGCACCAAGCAAATGTCTGTTAAATGAATTAATATAGTAAAACCAATCAGCAAACCTATCATTAAAACTGAAGTTTTACCTTAATTATCTGTATAAACTAAAATAACTTCCATTGTAATATTGCTAGTTATAAGCTAATAAAGATCTACTCAGATTTTAAAAATATGTTTGGATTTCACACTCCTCTCCCCAGTAGCAGCCAAGTCTCTGTCAATAATCATATAGTGACATTTCAAGTCCTCATGTCTTAAGCTAACAAATAAAACCAGGGGGCTAAGAAGCAAATTTATGAAGTATTATTTGAAGAATACTTAAATGATTGCCTAAAAGTATTTTTCCTTCGCCAATTTACCATTGGATGATCTGAAATTGCCACCATCAATCATGCATTGGATGCAAAACATTCAAAGGTTCTGGTAAAAGGCAAATATGTTACAGGTACCATCTGAATTTCCTTAGACCTTAAAAATGTGGGTTAAAATGAAGTTTTATTTAATGGAATAATTTAAATGTTTATAGTCGGTATAACCATTTGTGTTTGACAGGCCTTCAGGCCTTCAGCCTTTCCCACCCCACTACTCACCCTGATCCCTTCAAAAACTTTTTTCCAATATTTCTGAGTCTGAAACAGGCTGCTAAATAATCCCATTCCTGCTGGCTCCTGTGATGACCTCAGCTTGGCTTAGCCATCATTCCTGCAAGTACCCCAGTTCCTCATAGGGCTCTCCAGAAATCAAATCTATGCAAGAAAGATTTGTCACAAGAAAGAAATCTTACTTCCATTTTGCTTTGGAGAGATTCTCAAGCATGGTCACTTAGGTCCCAGTACTTTACACAGTTCTCTATCTCTCTCTCTTCTCACCCCTAACCTCCCTTAAAATTTTAGAGTTCCTCTGCTCTCCGCAAAACTCAGATATGTTCCATTAGGGCAGGGAGACAGCTCTAGGTGCCTGAAACCATGGCACATGCTGGCTCAGCACCCCCTGACAGGCAAGGCCCTATGCTGAGAGCTTATCCAACCTGGCTCCTTCTTCTCCCAGGACATTCCTCAGTGTTTGTGCAAACATGCTTCTGGCAAGCACAAGATAAAAATGTGCCAAGTATGCCTGAATTTCAGTCTCAGTTGAGACCACTTCCACATATGGAAAGATGAAAAGATAAATATTAGCACAGTATCATCTACAAACATCTTCATGAAAATTAGATTCTGAGATCAGTTGATCCTGCAACAGATAGCAGATCTCTGAATGACAGGACAAATGTGATTTGATGAAAGGGACAAAGGGGAAAGAGACATAAAGGTTAAAAAATTCAGAATCTGGAGGTCGTTCCCAGGGTGATAAGCCCAGGAGCCAGGTGCCTTAAGGGTGAATGGCCAAGGGCACCTGAGGATATGGGTACAAGGGCAGGGGACACTTGGGTGAAAGGAGGTGAAATGGGAATGAAAAGTCACCAGAGATAAACTCAGCCAGGTCTCAGTGTTTCTGAAACTGTCTTGGAAACAAATAATTATCTTTTCCAGTGAAATTCCAGTGAGTTTCTGAAACTCAGTCTTGGAAATAAATAATTATCTTTTCCAGTGAAATTCCATACAAAAGTTTGATTTCACAAATTTGTCATTGATCTTCCCTGTAACTGGCTCTACTCCATCGTTACCCAGTCATAACTTCAGTCTATGTGACACCAAACATCCAGCCAATTCAGCCGTAATCAAAACTCCAGTTAACCAGCCAGCTGTTGTCTGTACATAATGCCAAGCAATCAACTGGACTAACTTCATGCCTGGGTTGATGGGAAAGACCAGATGTTTCAGCATTATGTAAATGCTAAGTGCCACTTGAAAACAGGAGTGTTCGCTGTCATTTTGCATACAATCTTAGAATGAGCACTTGCACTTTTCTCATAAGTAGGACATTAGCCCAACCAAGATCTCAGAGATACGCATACACAAACACAGGTACACATGCACACTGAAAATGCCTCAGTGCATGTGGGCATGTAAAAACATGTCAGAGGTGCAGGGGCAGTAAGTTAATTCATACAATCTCAACTTTATAAAATGTACTCAATGCGCCTGTCCCTGCCAGTCTGTGCTCTTCCCTGCCTTGCCCTGCTCTGCTCTCCATCTCAGGGAACGACTCTTCCAGGCTCTTTCGCCCTCTGGCTTCAGCATATTGGAGGCACAGCTAGAAGATGAAGGGCACAAGGAAGGGCATGACAAATGAATTTTCTCCCTTCTCTCTCTCTCTCCTTTGATGTCTCCAGAAGCTGCACCTCCTTCCAGGTTATCTTTACTTCCACAGTTCTGGTTCCCATCCAAAAGCCCTCTCTCTGGTCCCTAAACTCCCTCTCCATCATCTGTGAAATCTATTTCCTGGACTAAATTTCATTTGCTGAAAGACCTAGAGTGCCTTATTTTTCTGGCTGGACCCTGACTGATACACAGGATAATCTGGCAAAGCAAAGTACTTCTCATCCTAGGGTTTCAAGGGCAGCCTGAGGCCTATTAAAGAGCAGCTCGAGTGCTGAGCCAATGAAGGATGTGAGCAGAGTTCTTCTCCTCCTCTTCCTTGGTTCTCCC